>NC_000012.12:29375077-29527772 GCF_000001405.40 Homo sapiens
ATTCTCTTTGCCAGAAATATTTTTTCTTCCCCCTACCGCATCTCTACATTTGACTAACTCCTACTTACTCTTCAAGGTCCAGTCTACTCATCTCTACCTTGAGCAAGCAGGGGGAACAAAAAAACTTTCCATGGCCTTCAAAGTCTATCTGCTTCTAGAACGTTGTACCTTTATCACACTATTTCTAATTGCCTCTTTTTCTGTTTCCTCCACCGGATTGTTAGAGCAGGAACCATGTCTAACTTGATCTTTGTATCTCCAATGCCTAGCGAACAGGTATTCAATATTTATTGAGAAAAGGAAGGAAGGAAATTTTCCCAGAAACACCACAGTAGCACATCTTTCAAATCACAGCAGTATGTCATACTTAGGTAAGTAAATATATAAAAATAAGATCCACAAGAAGGATTTTCCTGTTGTCTACTGTCCCAGGACCTAGAACAGTGGCCATCACATAGTCAGTATAGCACTGTTAAACAAATGAATAAAACAGTGAATTACATTTCTAAAAGTTTATATAAATGTTATATTTGTATAATGAGCTTTCTAAATGCTCTTTTAATTTATATATAAGCATAAAGATACGGCAAGCAGTTAGTTTTACAAATCTCCTAATAATACATACAACCTATTCAACACTCCTCCCTTGAAAGTCTAGCTGGAATATATCATGTGGCTCCCTACCCATCTCTAGCTTCCTCCATCCCTGTTTTCCAGGGGATATCACTCTAGAATGGAGCACCTCGCCCCTCAGCTACTCCACCAGTCCCATTCCTGAAAGCTCAGCACTAACCTACCTCCAAGAAATTCATTCCATTTTGCATACTTGCCAACCTACTGTAAAAGTCACTGTCTGGCATAAACAAGGTATCCAATAACTTCTAGCTTTTCTAAAAGAAATTGCTGTCTGCTCTCTTTATAAAACCTGACTTTCTATTGGCAGCAGTTCCATTCCAATCCTTAGTCATTTCTGAGACTCACAGGTTACAGAAGTATCATGTTTTACCATATTTCTCAACCATCTCTCATGTTTTGTGCTATGTATTATTTGAAGCTCTTTAAACATTAATTCATTTAATCTTGTAAATGACTCTATGAAGCAGCAGGTACTATTTTTAATCCTACTTTTTGATGAGGAAATGAGGCACAGAACTGTCAAATAATTTTCCCAGGCTACATAGCAGGTGGTAGAACTTGAAACTATGCTCCAAACCACAGTACACACTGATTCTCACTTCCGTACTTGTTGCTATATTCCACTAACATCTGAATATATTCATAATTTGCTTAATGACTTCAGCACCCAGATCATTCAATATGCTTCTCCCCCACTCCATTATCATCCTTTGGAATTCATGCTCTGATGGCATTTATCCTATAGCATTCATTCACAATAAAACCTTTTTACCATGTAAGCTTAACAGCGCTTCTCCTCCTGTGACCTCCATCTTAATTCTATGGAAAGCCACCCATGAGCAAGGTCAACCCTTAAAACTGTTCCACCTCTAAAATCCAAAACACATTTACCTCCCCAAGTAGGAACTACCCTTCAAGCTCTTTCCTAAGATAAATCTGCTCTTCATTTTCACTGGTGTTCTCAAATCCTTTAAATCCTACCAGATACCCAATTTCATTGCTCCATTCCCACTCTATTTGCCTCTCTACTCAGTGTGGTAAGCCATTTTCAAAAATGTGTTTGGAAATACCTCAGATCATCAATGCTTGCCAGAAGTCATTGCTATTCTGTGACAAAATTTTCTAGTCATGGACAACGTAGAAAAGAACTTTTAAAGCTAAATTTATTCCATTTTAAAATGTGTCCTTTATTCTGAGATTATTTTATTCCATTTTGTCAAAACAGCCTTTCCTTTATGAAATGATAAAAACAGATATAACAGAGGTTGTTTTGTTTTTGGATGTCTTTATTCAGCAAAATTAAAAAATGTAATTCTAGGTCAGTTTTTATACCCAGCCCTTTTCCCTGTCCACACGGCCCGCCCCTCTCAAATAGATATACATTTTCTTGTATTGGTCCACAAAATCTAGTTAGAAGCCGTTACACAAGATTCCTTTGCCCACTGGTTGGTGCTGCTATTCATACCTTGACAATCTCCAGTACTATGTCTGTTTTCTTTGATGTCTCTCCTTAAACTGTCTTGAATATTAAAAAACAAAACAAACATAAATAAACTCCAGAAAGTCACTGATAACAGCTGGAGCTAAGACAAGACAGTTGTCCCTCAGTATCCATGGGGTATTGGTTCCAGGACCTCCCTTGGATATCAAAATTCTCAGATGCTCAAGTCACTGACATAAAATGGTGTAGTTTTTGCATATAACCTATGCACATCCTCTTGTATACTTTAAATGATCTTTAGACTACTTATAAAACCTAATATAATGTAAATGCTATGTAAATAGTTGTACTGTTTAGGAAATAATGAAAAGAAAGAAGTCTGTAAGTATTCAGTACAGACACAATACTTGTTCAGTAGGCATGCAATTTTTCCTTCTTGAATATTTTCAATCTGCAACTGGTTGAGTCCACAGATGCAGAATCCACAGATATGGAGGGGTGACTGTATTTTGAAAAACTTCCTAAGACATAAGAGACTCCCTTTCAGGTTGGAACACAGACATTATCAACACTCACTGTAAGTAAAGTCACACAGCCTATATTTCATCATTGTATCCATCTGAATATAATGAGACTATTAAATGCTTTACCAAAATTAAAATACAGAATTCATGAACTTTTTATAGTCTGCTCAGTTAAGTTTAATTCTCCAAAGAAAAATGAAGACAAAAGTTATTTCCTGCTACCCAAGTTTTGAGTTAACTTCTATTTTTAATACATATTTGGCAATATGAGAAAAATTTAATTGGTTAATACATATGGCCAAGTTGCAGTCTGAACTGTGTCAACTCACAATTTGATACGTTGAACAAGATATGTTGAAGTCTCAACCTCTGGTATCTATGAATGGGCCTTATTTGGAAATATTTGAGTCTTTCAGATATAACTAATTAAGATGAGATCATACTGGATCAGGGTGCTCCAAAATCTGAGACTGGTGTCCTTTTAAGAAGGCCATGTGAAGACACAGAGAAACACAAGGGAAAATGCCATGTGAAAACAAAGGCAGAGACTACAGTGATGTGTCTACAAACCCAGGCATAGCAAGGATTGCCCAGAAGCCAGGAAGAGTCAAAGAAGGATTCTTTCCTAGAGTCTTCAAGTCTTGCTGACACCTTGATTTCAGACTTCTAGCCTCCAGAACTGTGAGAGAATAAATTTCTTTTGTTTTAAGCCTCCCAGCTTATAGTAAGTTGTTACAGCAGCCCCAGGCAACTAATACAGGCAATATAATTCAGGCCATCGCTGAATATCAGAAATAAAAGGTAAAACTACAACCTATCTGTAATTTTAAATTACTTGATTATATTGCATTAGAATACTTTACAATAAAAAACATTTTATAAGATAGCTTAGCTTTACTTTGCAAATACTAGATAGCAACCCCCCAACCCCCTCAATTGTACTTATTTTTACCTTAAAATTTGGACCTTTTACAACAGAGTTAAATATTATGTTTGTTTACCCCAACATAATTCAAATAAACCTAATGACATTCTAAGTGACAGAAAGGTTTACTTGGAAGCCAAGGAAGACAATATAAATGTGAGTTTATAATCAGAAAACCCTGATTACCTAGGCACTTACTAGTTGTGTGACAAGTGTGGAAAGATACTCAACTTCTTAGAATCCTCTCTCCATAATTTTATTTTAAAAGATGGGCAGCAGGACATAATGGCTACCTCACAGTGTTAAGATAAAAATGAGGCATGTAATATCTATTTCTAATTCTCTGAAAAAAAGCAAAGATTTGTAGGATATTTGAGATTTAGTTGTTAAAGTCTTTGAGGAAAGTGGGAGAGTATGTGAGGTTAGTTGACAATCTCCTGAAGTTAGGATGGCATAAACTGATAAGACTAAAAGTTAAGAGAGACTATAGAGTGATAACAGAATAACCTTAAAAGTGCCTAGTAGCAATGTGAAGCAAGGACAAGTATAATCCTCCTCAAAGAACAACTAGACTATAGTAGCTCTCAATAAAAGTATAGAAAATTAAAGTTAAAAAGTATTAAGGAAAAGGTCAGGGACACATGAAATATATTTACAATAGAATGAATGTTCTCAAAAGCAAAGAGTATGGGGGTTAATAAGGCACTCAGAGGGTAGATCTGAGCCACACTACAACGTGACTATATAGAGCAATAGAAAGGAAGAACTTATGCTTTAGTCATTAAAAGAGGATAATAATTTAAGAAAACAAGCAACTGGATAATGGGAGTTTAAGGACACATTAACCACACCAATCAGAGTGTTTAATCAATCTGGAGTTCAGAAAGATATTATTTTAAACAATATCTTCTTCAGTCTACATTTTGACTAAGTAACAAGGCAACATTTGTAACTACAGATGTTAGAAAATGAAAATAAAAAATAACAAGAGCTAACATGCATTGAGTGTTTACTGTGTGCCAGGTATTGTTCTAAATGCTTTGTATGTTTCAACACATTCAATCCTCACAACCTTCCTATGAGTTAAGTATCATTATTTCATTTGGCCGATGAAGGAACTAAGGCACAGAGAGGTTAAATAATTTGACCACTATGACATTAAGAGGCAGAATTACAATAAATATTGGGAAACTATTAAATAGGATTTTTAGCAGGCACTGACTGCCTAAAAGTAACTTCTGGTAAAGAAAAAAAAAATAGCCATTTCTTTCACTTAAATCATCAATCCCCAAAGAAAGAAAATGTGTGGGTGGTTGTTGTTGTTTCCCTAACTCTCGTTGTTCCAGACTAGGCCTGATTTCCTTTGAGAGATCTTTCAAACTTGATATATTTTTATGATTTGTACCAGGAAGCCATTATAACACGCAACTGTATACTAAAGTTCACCATCATTTAAAAAAAAAAAAAAAATCCTCCTCTCTCTATCCATCCCTGCACCGCCAACCCCCACCCTCCCAAAAAATCAGAATTTTTTTCCTCATGTTTTCCACTAGAACTGGCATAATTACAACAACTTAAAGATATCAACAAACAAATTAGGTAAATAACCATGTCTTTTTTCAGTGAACAAGCCAGGCTCATTCTTTATAATTGCTGTATACTGGAGTCCAATGTATCAGGCTAGGCAATTAACTGAAATACTGAATTACAACTTCAAATGAATAAATCCTGTTTTTAACTGTAACTTTCATTGCTTCTGAAAACCAGTCTGGCAACATTTTAACAGCTATTATGCCACTTTGTCTTTAAGTCTCGGGGGCACTAAAATATAAAAGTTATTTAAACGTGTTTTCTCAAACAATGACCTGTCAACTCTATATACTACAGATAAACAAGGCTATTCTCCACCACGAGTTGACACGTTGCCTTCGGAAGGTTTCCTGCGCCGAGGAAAAGTAGTGACAGTCGAACCTGTCTCTCAGCATCTCGCCCTCCCCCGCCCCCTTCTCATTTTCCGAAGCACTGTGCGAAACTCCTTCCGGGCAAGGCCAAGACTCTTAAAGAGACAGAGGGCAACGTGCTGCCACGAATGTGGCATTTGTCTGAATGGGGGTAGGGAGTCTGACATCCGGGAGGACTGGGACTCGACCGATTGGGATCCTACTCGCCTGCGGACTGGAGAAACCACCTGGGAACCGGGCACTGTGACAAGCAAAGGGTCAGAATCAGGTGCGATCGAGGAAGCACCTGAACTCCTTCGAGTTGCAGGATAGCACACAAGCACCCGGACCTGGCAAAGGGAAGCTCCCAGTAGCATCGTTGCCTAGGGTCCTGCCAGTAACGCCCCCGTGGGAGGTGGAGCGGCTTCTCCGTCCGACCGGCTCTCTAGAGATCAATGAAGACAGGAAGCCAAGCCCATGACAGGCTCCCAGTTCCCTCAATTGCATTTACGCCCTAAACAGCCCTGGAACAACCGAGGGAACAGCACCCAGCGGTGTTTCAGTATTTTACCTTGTGTTATGGTCCCAGCCTACCGCCATGTTTCACAGAAGCCCGGGTCGCCGGGGCTCCCGCGTACCCGGAAATATCGCGAGAACAAAAGCGACTATCACAGCTGAAAACGTCAGAAAAGAGACAATGTACAGATCTCGCGATATTCCCTTTGCTTACGACGTGCTTAGGGAATGAAGAGGCGTGGTTAAGATAAAAGAGGCGTGCCTACAGGGAAATGAGGTTGCAACTTGTTTTAGGTGTAATCGCGCCGCCAGTCCGGTTCTGTTTCTATGGGAAGGGAGGGGTTACTTTCCGACTAACACTGAGACTGCAGAACGAATCTCAGCTCCTCACACCGTATTTCATTACTAATAAGAGCCTTGGGCGCAGAAATTATCCCTAACAACCCTAATGCATATCACCTGTGCAATTGTTTTGTTTCCCTCTTTCAGTTTTTGTGTCGTTTTCCCCTGACAAGAACATTTGAGCTTCCTTTTCCGCCATAGGTAACGCTTTTTATTATTTGATCAGCGTTTTTATTGTCTTCCAGGTTTTAATATCATAAGAAAGCACATATGTCTTCCTCATCTCCCTTCGCCAACACCAACTATGCCTTCAAATATTTGTTAAGAAAGAAAATTAATACCTCATCTTTTTCTACCACTTCATAGAACAGGAGTTAATAGACGGAACTTCGGAAAGAAAAGTTAAATGTGAACTCCTGGAGAGTAAACCCATTCCAGGTTCCTTTTCACCCATCTGTTACCAGATTTTATAATCAAACATTGAGATTTAAATTTTCTGATTCATTGACCTAGAAGTCTAACAACGGCATAATTATGACAACTGCTTATAATTACTGTTTAAAGGCTTTAACTGCTTTTTTAAAAAATCTGCGTATCCTCACAACACTCTTAGAAGATAATACCAGTATTTACCTGTTTTATAAATACGGAATTTGAGTCAAGGGGTAGTGAAGTGATTTACCCAAATTCAGACCGCTGGGAGAGTCAGGGAAATCTTGATCACAATACTAAACTGTGCCTCAAAGGAAAAAAATCACATTGTTTTATGTAGTGAATTAACCTTTACTGAAATACTAAATTTCACTAAATTGAATATCCCCCAAAATAAGGACTGATGAAAAGTTTCCAATGAATCAATTTTATTTTCAGACTTTCAGAGTTAGTCTAATTAAATCAATTTAAAGTTCTCACTTTCTTGACATGCTTAAGAAGTATAGTGTAGTGGGTGAAATCATAGACACTGGAGACAGGACTTCCTGGGTTAGAATTCCAGATCAGCAACTTACTAGCATGTAACCTTGACCACATTATTTCATCTCTTTGTGTCTCCATTTGCTCATCTGTAAAATGGGCATGATAATATCTCAGAGTTGTTACGAGGATTAAGTAAATTAATATACATCTAAAATGCCTTTTTTTAATCTTTGCCGTAAAGGCATCAGCAACTCTTCCTTCTTTGTGAATATGGGCTCTTGCTTGGATGGAGGCTGGCTGTTGTTCACTTAGTTACATCTGATCCCTCATCTCCTGGATAACCTACTTTCAGGGTAACAACTATCCCATGAGAGTTGGATTTCCCAGTGTAGCAAAACTGACTAATTTGATCCTTCTTATTTAGAAAACAACTCACCATTTTCTAATCTACCCAGTGAAGAGGGAACTTAATTTCCCCTGAAGATTGAAACTCTCGGGCTGCAGCTAAAGCCGCATTCTTTTCATTAAAGGCCAGGGTTTGATCTAACAGTAGCACGACATCTCTGCAAGCGAGGTCAAAGGTTTGCCCTAGACCCTGTAGGACATCTATGTACCTATCAGGATCATCTTTAAAAAGAGATAGATACTTAATCTTGTGTTATCAGTGGCGTTATGTCTGAAAAACAATTTGCTTTAAAAAGTCCATTATGTATTACCCGCATAAGATAGGTTTTAGACTGAGATTAATAATTGTTCCATAACAACCTGTATTTAGTAAAGATGATCAAAAGGTGTTTTTGTGCCATTTTTTTCTTTCTCTAGTTCGATTGAATAATTCATGGGCTTTTTTCTAATTCTCCTTAGTCCTTCTAGAACACAGGTCAACAGATGTTTATGACTTCAGTCCCCATGATCTGAGTCAAGGTCCCAGTGGGGATCCATACTGGGGATGGCTTGCTGACCAGTCGGGAATTTGTCCCTTTCTTCGGCTGTCATTCTGTCATTTACTTGACTAAGATACCAGGTATCTCCAAACTCTTGGGCTGCAGCTAAAGCCGCATTCTTTTCATTAAACGCCAGGGTTTGATCTAACAGTAGCATGACATCTCTCCAAGTGAGGTCAAAGGTTTGCCTAGACCCTGTAGGACATCTGTGTACCTATCAGGATCATCTGAAAACTTCCCCAGGTCTGCCTTGATCTGCTTTAAATCAGAGAGGGAGAAGGGGACATGTACCCGGGTTGGGCCAAATACCCCTCCCGCTATAGCTTGAAGGGGACATAACCAATAGCCCGGGGTTTTTTGTGGTCCTTTGGAGATTTCCTTGCTTGTTTCCTTCTGGCCAGGGGAGATTAGAGGAGGATTATCATTAATAGGAAGGGGAGCTATAGGGAGGCTAGGATATGGGGATAAGCTGAGAGATCCTCCTGTGGGATATAAATTGTAAGCTTTGCATAGTTGTGTATTCTCCCTCAATGAAAATAAAGCTTGGACATGAGGTATTTCACTCCATTTGCCTTCCCTCTTACAGAAAAGATCAAGCTGCAGGATAGTATTGTAATTTGTACTTCCCTCAGGTGGCCATTTTTCCCCATCAGAGAGAGAATATTGGGGCCAAGCCGTAGTGCAGAAAAAAATGAGCCGCCTCTTTTTCAGGGTTTGTGGGTCAAATTGGTCCCAATGGCTTAGGATGCATTTCAAGGGTGAGCCTGTTGATGCCTGAGTGTTTCCCATCTGAAAGACAAAACTGCCGCGTTTTGGTTTATTTTGTTTCTCCCCCTGCCCAAGAACCTACAACGGTCCCTGGACCCTGCTGATCAGAATAGTTGCGCTCACCAACACAGCAGCAGAAACAACCCCTGCCCAAGAACCCGCAACAGTCCCTGGACCCTGCTGATCGGAATAGTTGCGCTCACCAACGCAGCAGCAGAAACACTAGTTTTCCTCCCAGACCACATGGAGGACCAAGGAAAGTCAGATTTAGCGGTCCTTACCGACGCATTCTCGAAAACCTGCACCCTTGCCTGTCCTCCTAGGCCACAAGGGGGACCAACTGAGAAAAATCGATTTAGTGGCCCTTACCGACGCATTCTCGAAAAGCTGTTAGAGTCCTAAGCATTCTCCTGTTAGTACTGGGACTTTACCCCTGTCCTATAAAGATGTTATGCCCCAAAAATGAAGTGGAGGGCCATACCCTGAGGGAGGGAAGGGATCTCCAGGTTTGGAAGAGTGACACCTTTTGTCCTCACTTATATGAATAGGAAGGATATAATTTCTGAGGCTCCCCATATCCTAGCTTCAGGAATAGCTTTTGTTAGGCCTGTTAGTCTGAGGAGGGATCCTAAAATTCCAGGTAGTCCCCACTACGATGGGGCTTTGGGCAAAAATTATGTCTTTCTGATTGGTGAGCCCGGGTGCCTAAAGAAGGTAACAGAGTCCTGGAGTTTATACTAGAAATCATTCTTATAGGAGAAACTAGAAAAGCACCAGAGACGGTAGCAATTTTTAGAAGCGGGACTAACCTCAGAGAAGAGAGGCAAGAGGAAGTTTGTCTGACAGGCATTAGGACCCAGGGGGCAAGGGTCAGGATAGATAGGATAGATGGGCGAGTCTCGCTTGGGCGACATGCTTTTGAGAGTTCTGCTCATGGCCGCAGGGTCAACCAACTTGTTGTCGGGACCCCAGAGCTGCATGGCTTTCCTCTCTGTCGACCCTCGGCTCAGCCCAGAAGTACTGGAAAAGCAGAAGCTGGTTCTAGGGAAAACAATGGTCCCAACTCCGAAGAGTCGGGGGTTGTTATAGAGCCCTTTCCCAGAAAACCTGACACCCGTGTCTTTAGTCCGGTGGCCACGCTAGTCGCTTTTAACTGGCCAACAGGTGCCCGGTATTTAGCCCCCAAATTCTAAGGAAAGATAGGACAGAATAGCAAGCTAAAGGGGTCCGATGGTACTCACTGCTTGGCAATAGGTGATTGTCTCACCGCTCAGCAATAGGCGATGGTCTTACTGCTTGGTGATTGGCGAAGGTCCCATCTGGGTCGCCAAAATGTGTCTGGAATTGGTGGGTTCTTGGTCTCACTGACGTCAAGAATGAAGCCGCGGACCCTCGCCGTGACTGTTACAGTTCTTAAAGGCGGCATGTCCGGAGTTTGTTCCTTCTGATGTTCAGATGTGTTCGGAGTTTCTTCCTTCTGGTGGGTTCATGGTCTCGCTGGCTCGGGAGTGAAGCTGCAGACCTTTGCGGTGAGTGTTACAGCTCTTAAAGGCAGTGTGGACCCAAAGAGTGAGCAGTAGCAAGATTTATTGCAAAGAGCGAAAGAACAAAGCTTCCACAGTGTGGAAGGGGACCCGAGCAGGTTGCCACTGCTGGCTCAGGCAGCCTGCTTTTATTCTCTTATAAGTCCCCACCTACATCCTGCTGATTAGTAGAGCCAAGTGGTCTGTTTTGACAGGGCACTGATTGGTGCACCTACAATCCCTGAGCTAGACACAAAGGTTCTCCACATCCCCACCAGATTAGCTAGATACAGAGTGTCCACACAAAGGTTCTCCAAGGCCCCACCAGAGTAGCTAGATGCAGAGTGTCGATTGGTGCATTCGCAAACTCTGAGCTAGACACGGTGCTGATTGGTGTGTTTACAAACCTTGAGCTAGATACAGAGTGCCGATTGGTGTATTTACAATCCCTGAGCTAGACATGAAGGTTCTCCAAGGCCCACCAGAGTAGCTAGATACAGAGTGTCGATTGGTGCATTCACAGACCCTGAGCTAGACACAGGGTGCTGACTGGTGTATTTACAATCCCTGAGCAAGACATAAAGGTTCTCCACATCTCCACCAGACTCAGGAGCCCAGCTGGCTTCACCCAATGGATCCCGCACCTGGGCTGCAGGTGGAGCTGCCTGCCAGTCCCACACGGTGCGCCGGCACTCCTCAGCCCTTGGGTGGTCGATGGGACTGGGCGCCGTGGAGCAGGGGGCCGCGCTAATCTGGGAGGCTCGGGCCGCACAGGAGCCCACGGAGGGGGTGGGAGGCTCAGGCATGGCGGGCTGCTGGTCCCGAGCCCTGCCCCGCGGGAGGGCGGCTAAGGCCCGGCGAGAAATCAGCACAGCACCGGTGGGCTGGCACTGCTGGGGGACCCAGTACACCCTCCGCAACCACTGGCCCGGGTGCTAAGCCCCTCACTGCCCGGGGCCGGCAGGGCCGGCCGGCTGCTCCAAGTGTGGGGCCTGCCAAGCCCATGCCCACCGGGAACTCCAGCTGGCCCGCAAGCGCCGCGCGCAGCCTCGGTTCCCGCTGGGGCCTCTCCCTCCACACGTCCCTGCAAGCTGAGGGAGCCGGCTCTGGCCTTGGCCAGCCCAGAAAGGGGCTCCCACAGTGCAGCGGTGGGCTGAAGGGCTCCTCAAGTGCCGCCAGAGTGGGAGCCCAGGCAGAGGAGGCGCCAAGAGCGAGCGAGGGCTGTGAGGACTGCCGGCACGCTGTCACCTCTCAATAGGTTTCAGACTGAGATTAATAATTGTTCCATAACAACCTGTATTTAGTAAAGATGATCAAAAGGTGCTTTTGTGCCATTTTTTTCTTTCTCTAGTTTGAGTAAAAGTTTCAGCAAGTGAGCAGCAAAATTTAGATAAACTAATAAATGAATAATTTTTACAATGGAATGCCCATAAGCACCTCAAAGTCAGCACATCCAAAATGGATTTTTTTTTGTCTTTTTTTTGAGACAGAGTCTAACTCAGTTGCTCAGGCTGGAGTGCAGTGGCGCGATCTCGGCTCACTGCAACCTCCACCTCAAGCAATTCTGGTGCCTCAGCCTCCTGAGTAGCTGGGACTACTGGCATGAGCCGCCATGCCTGGTTAATTGTGTGTGTGTGTGTGTGTGTGTGTGTGTGTGTGTGTGTGTGTGTGTATTTTCAGTAGAGATGGGGTTTCATCATGTTGCCCAGGCTGGTCTGGAACTCCTGCCCTCAAGTGATCTGTCCCCACCATGGCCTCCTTAAGTCCTGGGATTACAGGTGTAAGCCACCGTGCCCAGTACCCAAGTGGATTTCATAATTTATCTCCAAATCTATTTCTTCTCCTCTGTGCCTAGAAAAGTCAATGGCACCATTAACCTCAAACTTAACCAGGTTAGAATTTTTGTGTCTCCTCCACCTTTTCTCTAGCTGCCAATCCCAGTGACCCATCAGTTTTATTCATGAGGCTATTCCCGATCTCATGCTATACACCAGGCCTTCATTATCACTTGCTTCAACCACAGGTGATCCTCAGTGATATAGTCTGATTTTAAATTTACATTTTCAAACATTGTAGTTTACTCTTTCAAATCATTTTTTTTTTCATATGCCAAGTTGGGACTTGAAAGTCTTTTTTTTTTGACAGAGTCTCACTCTGTCCCCCAGGCTGGAGTGCAGTGACACAATCTCGGCTCACTGCAACCTTCACCTTCACCTCCTGGGTTCAAGCGATTCTCCCGCCTCAGCCTCCCAAGTAGCTGGGAGTACAGGCACCCACCACCCCATCAGGCTAATTTTTGTACTTTTAGTAGAGGCGGGGTTTCACCGTATTGATCAGGCTGGTTTCGAACTCCTGACCTCAAATAATCCACCCACCTTGGCCTCCCAAATGCTGGGATTATAGGAGTGAGCCATGGCGCCTGACCTTAAAAGTCTTATATCACTTTTTCACATGACAAGTTTAGATTTCATAATCAGCTGATGAATAAATACTTTCAGTCCATGCACAGTCTGTGCCATCTGATACCTCTGTTTCAGCAAGGTAATCACTTCTATCTATAAAGCATTGTTTGTGCAATATTTTAATAGGATTAATAGGCTCAAATGAACCACAGATCTGTCAACTGAACTTGCAGTCTGGCCACTCTTGTAACAAATATTCATTTCATTAAGCACCTTTAATATGACAAATGATGTGCTAAGTACCAAGTACTTTGTCATAGTGACAAAGCAGACACTCTTACCCTCATGGAATTTGTACTATATATTGTGGGTAAAAAGGGATCCAATAAATAAACTCCCCAAAAATATATGGCTGGTGTTATTTATCTTGATAGGTGTTAGTACATAGTCTTAATAATTATCAATAATATATTACTATATGTATTTAACATATTGTACCGTAGGCCCAATATCTTTCAGTGCAAAAATACTCAGCTGAAATACGTTTTTCATTTCAAATACTTATCTATATTGATTACAACATTCTAATTTAGTGTTTTACTTTCCATTTCCAAATATTCTTTCATCAATATTATCTGTTCTTCTTTTCATCATAAATGTATTTATTTCATCTATTAGTATTTTCTATAATCTATATTTTAAGTCATTTCAGCTCTTTTTATATTTCTTAAACCTTTTAAAAGCATAATTGTATGCTAAAAGTGGGTGAGGTTTTAAAACTAAGTGCCTAAGACATAATATAAATATTTTATTGTTCTCTATTACATTAAAAAGTGGTAACCTATTTAATTCACATGCTATGGTCAAATTTTAATTTCAATAATATGACACAAATAAATACTCAGAAATGCTGACAAATCTTATCACCTGTGAAACTCAAATGTTTTCAGGGGTCATGAAGATAGCATACTTGTCTCATCCAATGACTTTCAAATTCATCCTTCTTTAAAATGTTGTGCTGGACTTTGGAGACACAAATGTGGCCTTCCAGAGTGACAGGCCTTATAACAATCCTTGTAACAATTACTACTTTATTTTTACCTGTTAATATTTATATATTAATAAACCCAACTGAACCTAAGAGAATATCTAAGACAAGTACATTTGTGTATGTGTGTGCCTTCATGTATGTGATTTTTATGTACATGATGAACTGTCTTAATTATAAAGAAAAGGAAAAAAACATGATGCTATGAGAAAAAAATGAACATTCAACTGAGCAGAGCAGAAGATATTTTTATATTTCCTGATACAAAAATCTAACTTCAGTTCCGGTCTGGCAGAGAGCGCGGAGAGACGCAGAACGCAGCCAGCTCCTCCAGGGCCCTCCAGGCCCTCCGGACCCGGGCCGGCGGGTGAACTGGGGGGCCCCGGGACAGGCCGAGGCCTCTGCCCTGCAGATACCGGAGGCCTCTGCTGTGGCTGCCCACTGGCTGTGCCCAGGCCTTGAAGCCGCAGCGAACCTCTCTTTCCCACCCCACCTGGATGACTGATGGCGGCGGCTGCGTCTCCCCGACGGGACCCCGCCGGCCGCCGCGTCTCCCGACCCAAGCCTGCCGGGCCTCGACGAAACCCCCGCAGAGTCGCTGGGACGCAGCGCCTTTGGGCGGCGCCGGGCGTGGTGGGCCGGAAAGTATGGCGGCCGCTTGAACGCCGCGCGGCGGAGGCCATTAAGGCGTGGAGGGCCCGGGAAGGCGGCCTAGGGACGCAAGCAGGCTCGGCCACCTCTTTAGGCCACGGAGCCGCGCAGATCCGGTTCCCGGGTGACCACTCTGTCGCCATTGGGCGAGACCGACCTAGTCCTGACGACAACGGACAAAGGCCTTCAGGGGCCTGGAAGGTGAGTGAAGTCCCGAAAGACGACGGGTGGAACGGTTAGCGGCTATCGGGCGGTTGGTCTTTGTTCTACCAGACTTTGCTGTCAGAAGAGAGAAATGGTAGAATGACAGGCCACGTTTGGCCCGTTGGAAATGCCCACCACCCTCTGGGAAGATTTACTGGCCGTTTATGTAAGGCCTGTGTATATAATATGAAAAAGCTGCTCTCAACTTCACCCCAACCTTTTAATAGAAAACATTTGTCACATCTAGCCCTTCTAGATGGAAAGAGGTTGCCGACATATGATAAAATAGAAAGTCACACATCTTGTAAATTCTCATTTGTTTAAAAGAAATCATAGAAAACACATGTCTTCTGGAGATGACTTTTAGAAATGGAGTTGTTAAGACGGCCTCTGGAAGCGATACGTCCACGTTTGTTAAGTGGGTTAGATGACATGGAGGTGGAAGACCTGAGAAGGAAGAGAAGAAGGTTCTGTGCTAGACTGGTCATATTTAGAAGACATTTTCATATTCTATCCATTGTTTTGTGTGCATTTTATTCTTCACTACTGTGTATATAGTTGACAATGCTAAGCTTTTTTGAAATGTCTATTCTTTTTAGATGTTCTGAAGTGCCTGATATGTTAAAATTAGAGGTAGCAAAATCACATTTTGTAAATACCTTTTTGTTACAAATCATAGGAAATGTTTTTTGGGGGGAATGGCCAAATCACCTGTTGAGTAATGCTCATTGTGCAGTGTGGTTCAGGGGAAGAGAGAGGAGGGGGAGGTGCAGAGAGCTCTATGACATCCTGTTTACAGCGAGGCAAGATGAATCATTATCTCTGTGCGTTTTGTTTTACTTATCTGTGTATATAGTGTACATAAAGGACAGACGAATCCTAATTGACAACATCTAGTCTTTCTGGATGTTAAAGAGGTTGCCAGTGTATGACAAAAGTAGAGTTAGTAAACTAATATATTTTGTACATTTTGTTTTACAAGTCCTAGGAAAGATTGTCTTCTGAAAATTTGATGTATTCTGGGTTGATGGAAATGGGAAGGGTTCTAGGCCAGAATGTTCACATTTGGAAGACTCTTTCAAATTATAACTGTTTTTACATGTTTGCAGTTTATTCAAGACTGCTGTATACATAGTAGACAAATTAACTCCTTACTTGAAACATCTAGTCTATCTAGATGTTTAGAAGTGCCCAATGTATGTTAAATGTAGAGGTAGTAAAATACCACTTTGTAAATATCTTTTTGCTAAAATTCATAGGAAATACTTCTGGAAATTGAATTGTGAAGCCACCTTTGTGAGCAGTATAGTAATGTCTATACTTGTTCAATGGTTTAGAGGAAGTGGGAGGGAAGAAATTGCAAAAGGTAATATACTAGTGTGTTCATACTTGGACGTTTTCAGACACCATTTTTCTATATGTTTTGTGCATTTTGTTTTGCTCTGTATATAGTGTATATAATGGACAAATAGTCCTAATTTTTCAACATCTAGTCTCTAGATGTTAAAGAGGTTGCCAGTGTATGACAATGTAGTAAAATTAGCATATTTTGTACTCTTTGTGTTGAAATTCATACGAAAACTTGTCTTCTGTAAATGACTTTTGCATAGGAATTTGGTCAACCATCTCTAAGCATTACATGTGCCTGTACTTGTCCACTGGATTGAAGGCAGAGAAGGAAGGGAGGGGGGAATGATTCAAGGCCAAAATGGCCACATTTAGAAGATACCTCAGATGATAACCATTGTTATGTGTGTGCAATTTTATTTAACAGTGCTGTGTACGTGGTGGACAAGTTATATGAAATATCTAGTCTTTCTAGATATTTGGAAGTGCTTGATGTATTTAAAAGTGGTAGTAGAATAACACTTTGTAAATAGCTTTTAAAAACTGATGGGAAATGCTGTTTGGAAGTGGAATTGTTGAACCACCTGGGAGGTGGGAGGGAAGAAATTGCAAATGGTGTTTTGACATTGTTTATTAACAAATTTCAGCTTAATCCATTGCCTATATGTTACATGCATTTCATTTAACTTTGCTATACTGTGTATATAATGGACAAATGAGTCCCGATTTTATAATATCTAGTCTCTAGATACTAAAGAGGTTGCCAATGTATGACAGAAGTAGAGTTAGTAAACTAACACATTTTGTACACTTTGTTAAAATTTGTAGAAAAGCTGTCTTGTGAAAAGGACTTTTGGAAGTGAGATAACATCAGCTCTAAGTGACACGTGCCTATATCCACCAGGTTGGTGGTGGAGAGGAGTTGGAAGGAATGAAGGGTTCTAGACCAGAATGTTCCTATTTAGAAGACACTTTCAGATATACCCATTGTTACATGTGTGTAGTTTATTCAACACTACTGTGTATATAGCGGACAAACTTAAGTCCTTATTTGAAACATCTAGTCTTTCTAGATGTTTAGAAGTGCACAAAGTATGTTAAAAGTAGAGGTAGTAAATAACACATTTTGTAGCTATCCTTTTGATATGAAATATTGTCTTGGAAATTGATCAATTCTCTGAGCAGTACACATTTTGATATTTGTGCTGGTTCAGGGGGAAGGAGGAGCACAAAGTGCAAAGGGCTTTCTACCAGTGTCCAGTGTGTTTATGAGGAGGCACATTGACCATTGTCCCTTATGTCTGCATTTTCATTTACTGTGCTGTGTATATAGTGTATATAAGTGGACAAAGGAGTCCTAATTTACATCCAGTCGACGTTAAAAAGGTTGCCAGTATATGACAAAAGTAGAATTAGTAAACTACTACATTGAGTACACTTTGTGTTAAAATTCATAGGAAAGACTTCTTAAAAACAGAAGTGAGATTGTTAAAATCCCCCCTAAGCATTACAGATGGCTTATAGCTGTCCACGGGGTTGGTAGAGGTGGGAAAGGGAAGGGTTCTAGGCCAGAATGTTCCTATTTAGAAGACACTCAAATTACAGTCTGTGTTATGTATGTATACCATTTATTCAATGCTACTGTGTATATAATGAAAAACTTAAGTCCAGTTTGAAACATCTAGTCTTTCTAGGTGTTTAAAAGTGTACAACGGCCTGTTGCAGTGGCTCATACCTGTAATCCCAGCACTTTGGGAGGCCGAGGCAGGCGGATCACGGGGTCAAGAGATCGAGACCATCTTGGCCAACATAGTGAAACCCCATCTCTATTAAAAATACAAAAATTAGCTGGTCGTGGTGGTGTCCACCTGTAGCCCCAGTTACTCGGGAGGCTGAGGCAGGAGAATCGCTTGAACTTGGGAGGTGGAGGTTGCAGTGAGCCGAGATCGCACCACTGCACTCCAGCCTGGCGACAGAGCGAGACTCCGTTTCAAAAAAAAAAAGTGCACAATGTAGGTTAAAAGTAGAGGGCTTAAGTAACACCCCTCTAAGCATTTGTTTTCAGTACTTCCTAGGAGTGGTTGCATTTGGGAATGGAATTGTTAAAAGGTGATGCTTAGGAGCGAATGCAGACTATTCATTAGGTGGTTGGGGCGGGGGAAGCGGGGGTGGGCAGAGGAGGTATGCAGGGAGAAGGGTTCTGTGCTCCTGAGATTAGTTCAGATGGTCTAAACATTGTTCTATATGTGCATTTTAGTTAATATTGTGTATTAAAGGATAAGTCTTAATGCTCAAAGTATGTTAAAAATAGATGTAGTAAATCAGTCCCTTTGTGAATGTCCTTTTGTTAGTTTTTAGGAAGGCCTGTCTTCTGGGAGTGACCTTTATTAGTCCACCTCTTGGAGCTAGACATCCTATACTTAGTCACTGGGATGGTGGAAGAGGGAGAAGAGGAAGGGTGAAGGGAAGGGCTCTTTGCTAGTATCTCCATATCTAGACGATGGTTTTAGATGATAACCACAGGTCTATATGAGCATTTTTAATAAAGTGCCTCTGTTCATTGTGGACAAAGTTATTGTTTTGCAACATCTAAGCTTTACGAATGGGGTGACAACTTACGATAAAAACTAGAGCTAGTTAATTAGCCTATTTGTAAATACCTAGCCTATTTGTAATATAATTACAAATTATGTAATTAGCCTATTTGTAAATATAATTGATAGAAAAGATGCATCTTGGACATGGAATTGTTAAGCCACCTCTGAGCAGTATATGTCAGGACTTGTTCATTAGGTTGGCAGCAGAGGGGCAGAAGGAATTATACAGGCAGAGATGTATGCAGATGTGTCCATATATGTCCATATTTACATTTTGATAGCCATTGATGTATGCATCTCTTTTGGCTGTACTATAAGAACACATTAAGTAATTCAAGGGAAATACACTTTGCTAATATTTTAATGGTGTAGCTCTGCTAATGCATTCTCTTAAAAACATACTTAGTGTATTCTGTTGCTGTGTGTTTCATTTTAAATTGAGCATTAAGGGAATGCAGCATTTAAATCGGAACTCTGCCAATGCTTTTATCTAGAGGCGTGTTGCCATTTTTGTCTTCTATGAGATGTTTGTCCCAAGAAAGGCAGGATTACTTTTTTTTTTTTTTTTTAGCAGTTTGAGTTGGTGTAGTGTATTCTTGGTTATCAAAATACTCATATAGCTTTGGGATTTTGAATTGGTAAATATTCATGATGTGTGAAAAATCATGATACATACTGTACAATCTCAGTCCCATGAAATTGGATGTTGTGCCTACTCACAGGATCTAGAAGCATATGTCAAACTATAAACTGCTTGTGATTGTGAATGACTTTGTTCTTTGCTTCTTGTGTTTTTTGGTTTCCTATAATGGACATATTAACTTTTAAAAAATAAAGGTTATTTTAAAAGGCTGAAAAAAAAATCTAACTTCAGTGTTGAACTAAAAAAGTGAAATAATTTCCATCCCAGACATGTGATATGTCCCAAAAGCAATTTTTATATCTTGTAAAAAAATACACAAGCAGCTAAATAACATAAATAATAGGCCCTCAGAGGTCAAACATTTTGACTAAAAATTATGAATAAATATATACCATACTGTTACTATTTACAGGACCTAACTTGACACATATGCTTTTTTTCTAAAGTTGTTTTTCAAAGTAAAAGATAAATATTGAGACAGCAAACATGAAGTTCCCCGTCTCTCTCTGGGTCTTGAAGGGAAAGAAGCTAGTGAGAGATAGACATTCCCCCTTGCCTTACATACACTTTTTCATGAACTAGACTTTGGGAGAGTAGATTTGGTCAGAAATTGATTTTCCTCTAATGGAGGGTAGTTAGGTTGGGGGAACCCCATTAAAGATCTGAGTCCTTTACACAGATTGGGACTTCAGCTTTGGTATCACATTTATCTTACAATGGTGATACTCTGTAACACATTTGATCCCCTTTGTCCCTCTCATAACAGTAGGCGAGGACAGCTGAGCCTTCATCAGGAGAAGCCACTAATATCATGCCTATCATAAGCCAAGTCCGTGCTTAATTTAAGTTACACATAGGAAACCATTAGAATCTTCCATTCTGGGGCAAGTTATGGAAAAATATGAGGCTAGGAAATTAGTACCTTTTCTACATTTTTCTTTTTGTCTATATGCTAAGCAAGTAGGCTTAATTCCATTGAACTGTGATTTGTTTGGGAAGAATTAAAAAGATTGTTAAAGTTTAAAAGGTGCTAGTGCTAGCAAAGGCCATAAATAACATTGTGGCTTCTGCTTGCCCTCCCCTGGGTCATCTCTTGTGGAAATCCAGCTGTTCTAGCGTAAGCACACTTAAGTCCAGTGGAGAGGCCCACATGGCAATGTATCTTTTTGCTTCAAACATTCCTGATGCAAAGTATAAAGTCACTGAGATTCCTGCCCCATAAGATGAGATTTCTTTTCCTCTGGAATTTTGTACAACTTTGTCCCTGGTGTTCTTAAGTTTTACAATGTCTCTGACATGGGTCTGTCTTCATTGTTGTGCTGGGCATCAAATGGCTCCTTGGTATGGCAACTCATGTCCTTTGGTTCTAGGAAATTGTCCTAATTTGTTTTCTTGATACTTTTCTCCCCTCCACTTTCTAGGCCTATCTCATAATTGAAACTGCTATTATTGTTATACAATGTTAACTGGAAGAAATGGAAAAAGGACAGCAGTGACATAATTATCCTTTTTCCTTTATACAACTATGATATTGTTTTTAATTAACACTATTTCTTCTTTTATTTCTAGAATAGATGACAAAAGTAAAATTAAAAGCAAGGTATGGCCAGGCACGGTGGCTCATGCCTGTAATCCCAGCACTTTGGGAGGCCGAGGCGGGCATATCACCTGAGGTCAGGAGTTCAAGACTAGCCTGGTCAACATGGCAAAACACCATCTCTATTAAAAATACAAAAATTAGCTGGGCGTGGTGGTGGATGCCTGTAATCCCAGCTACTCAGGAGGCTGAGGCAGGAGAATTGCTTGAACCCGGGAGGTTGGGACTGCAGCGAGCTGAGATGACGCCGTTGTACTCCAGCCTGGGCAAGAAGAGTGAAACTCTGTCTCAAATTAAAAAAAAAAAAAAAAAAGCAAGATATAATAATTAGAAATGTGGTAGAGACTTCTGGTTGCATATAAAAAAAACTCTCCTCTCTTTTTTGAACACCAGAATCCTAGAGATTAAACCCAAATGAAGAACTTGGGATTCCCAGACTTGGCAAAGCCATTTGTCCCCTTTTCTCCTTGACCTTCCTCTTCTCCCTGCTTGGAATATGATGTGATGACTTGAGCCCAGTAGCAATTTTATGATTTGAGAATTGAACTCATACATTGAAGATGGTGGAGGAGAAAGACAGAAAAAGCCTTAGGCCCTCTGGATAATGTAGAACTGTCTACCAGCCCTAAATTTCCGGCAGCTAGACTTAGTTTAGGTAAGAGAATTACCTCCTAAATCCTTCAAGCTATTGTAGTCAGTTAAAGAGTTAACCAGCCATCAGCAGCCAGTTCTTAATGGAGTCAAGGAAATTTGTACAATTTTAAAGCTCTCTGAAAACAGAATCTCCTTGTTACATACACATCTTATTTTTACCTCCGTACATTTTCATTCACATGTTTTAAGTGTGTGAATGAACCCCGCCCAATTACAATCTTTGCATGCCTCTAGTCCTGTCTCCCCAGTCAAAACTCCATACTTTGTTTCCTGTGTCATCCTCTGAGAACTTTTATCAGCAGCGTGGTATGGTGACTAACATCAGCAGTCAAACAAACCTATGTGCTAATTCTGCTCTGAAACCAGCTGTTTGATATCAAACAAGTCACTCAACCTCTCTGAGCTTCTATCTCCTCATTGGTAAAATAAAAATGATAATGACTTTCTCATACAGTTGTGCTTGGAATTAATATTTGTAAAGTAGTCGGCACATTGAAAGCTATGGGATAGCCAAATGGAAGATCCTCACTCCCCAATTAAATCCTTAATTGGAATTATGAGAACAATTATTTTGTAAAAATTGGAGACATAAGAAAGAATTGGAAAGAAATACTATATGCTTGTATAGCAAAGCTTAATATATTACAATAAATCTTTCTCCAAGTAACATAAGACAGACACAGCCTCTGCTTCCCATACAGGTTTATTGCCAGGTTTTGACTACCTTCAAATATCATAGTCTAATCAGAAGTTACTCATGTTAATAAAAACTTCTGTTAGAGTGAAACTAAGTAAAAATTCTATACCTATTCCTTTAAAAACCTTTACTGATTAATAAATTTCATACCTATAAGATTCTCCCATTGTAAGTCTTCAATTCAATGATTTTTAGTAAATTTATAGTTATGCAGTCACCATAATTCAAATTTAGAACATTTCTATCACCCCCATTTTATTTCCTGCTCTCACTGAAACCCTAAGTAATTACTATTCTGCTTTCTTTGTAAATTTTTCTTTTTATACATTTAAGTGGAATCAATATTTGTAGGCTTCTTTCACTTGACATAATTTTGTGGCACATTTATATTTTGTAAAGATTTTTTAACTTTTTTTTTTTTAAATTGAGACGCAGTCTCACTCTGTTTCCCAGGCTGGAGTGCAGTGGCATGATCTCAGCTCACTGCAACCTCTGCCTCCCAGGTGCAAGCCACTCTCCTGCCTCAGCCTCCTGAGTAGGTGGGATTACAGGCACCTACCACCACGCCAGGCTAACTTTTGATTTTTAGTAGAAACAGGGTTTCACCATGTTAGCCAGGCTGGTCTCGAACTCCTGACCCCAAGTGATCCACCCGCGTCGGCCTCCCAAAGTGCTGGGATTATAAGGGTGAGCCACCTCGCCCGGGATTATAAGCATGAGCCACCGCGTCCAGCCTTAACTATTTTTTTTTTTTTTTGTTCAGAAACATTTTAAAGGACTCAAACGGGAAGAAGAACCTCTTTAAAAGCTTCATTTTAGGAAAATACATAAGATAATAGATACAATTTATTGGAAGTTTACTAGGTGCCAACTATCATTTATGTGATTTAAATGTAGAAACTCCTTTATCTTCAGAATATCCCTATGAGTAGATGTATTACCTCCACTTTATAGATGAAGAAACAGAAGTACAATGAGGCTAATTTTCCCAAAGTTATAACACTACTTAATGGTGGAACTGGGATCTGAACCCAAGGACTCTGACTTCAGAACCCAATACTCATAATCCCTGTGTCCCAAGGTTATTAACGGCATATTCAAAATATTTGAATGAGATTAGTTTTAATGAATAAATGAGCTAAATGGAAAGGTCAAGTAATATCTCACTCCTGGAAGACATACAAACACATTTAAAACTGTTTTCTCATACAAGAAAGTAGATGGTAGAAAGTGTAACTGCTAATGTTAACAACTAGGCTCATTGTTACAAATGACATCAGTAACCACAAGTCACAGTGACACTGTGGGCTTTCTAGGCATAGGGAACTGAAAAGAATGTAAGGGCTTACTGAGGAACTTCTAAATACCTAGACAGGAGGAGAACAGTTTCCAACCTGAGGAGCTAGTGTTGTTAAAAGGGGCTTTAAGTATTTCATATCGTGTAGTATTTTATATTTGCAAATATATGTAAATTATGGAACAAGATAATAAATATCTGTGAGACCACCATCCAGCGTAACTAGAAGTGGATAGCATTGCAATGGCTCCTGTGTGACTCTTCCAGCTTATTCCACTACCTCCCCACAGCTCTGGTGTGATAGCATTGCCTTGCCTTTTTAAACCTAAACAAACGATTTAATTTTACCTGTTTCTGAGCTTCATGTGGTGCCTAATTTTCTAAACTTGGTTTTTAAACTCAACGTTGTTGGTTTTTAAACTCAACATTGTTTCTAAGATTCACTAAAGAGCCTGTGGACTGTTGTATTTTACTGCCATGCAAGCATTATACTATTTTGTTTATACCATCTCCTGTAATAGACATTTGTAATTCCAACTTTTTGTTGGTGTTTCTGTAAACATGCCTGTACATATCCAATGGTCCACGGTTACATCACTTTCCTGTGGGACACAGGTCTCAAACCTGGCTGCATATTAGAATCACATAAGGAGTTTGTTAAATTATTCTTCATGCCCCAGATACATACATTTGATTTTATCCATGGCTGAAGACAATGCTGTAGGGTATATACCTAGAGATGAACTTGTTGACTGAGAAGACACTGTTATTTTCAACTTTACTGATATTGTCTGAGTTTTCCAAAGCTGGAGTACCTAATTATACTTTCCCACCAGCAGTGAGAAGAGTTCCTCTTACTCCATATTCTCATTATCTGTTGATATTGTCACCCTATGCATTTTGTTTGCCAAGTTAAACAATTAAAATGGCATTGCTGACTCCTTCGGTATTGTTTTATTGGTCTGTTTATTTTTCTCTGCAGCAATACCACCCTTTCTTTTTTTTCTTTTTTTTTTTTTTTTTTTTGAGACAGAGTCTTGCTCTGTCAGCCAGGCTGGAGTGCAGTGGCACGATCTCCGCTCACTGCAAGCTCCACCTCCCGGGTTCGCGCCATTCTCCCACCTCAGCCTCCCAAGTAGCTGGGACTACAGGGGCCCACAACCACTCCCGGCTAAATTTTTGTATTTTTAGTAGAGACGGGGTTTCACCGTCCTAGCCAGGATGGTCTCGATCTCCTGACCTCGTGATCCACCTGCCTCGGTCTCCCAAAGCGCTGAGATTACAGGTGTGAGCCACCATGCCCAGCCCCACCCTTTCTTAATCACTGTAGTTTTACTTTCTTTTATTATAATCCTTCTATTTTCTTCTGCCTCTGTCAGAGTTTCTTAGTAACTTTGGACCTAGCAGTTGTTTTTGTTGCCATTATTTAATAATTTGGTTAAAATTTACTCTCATACATACCAGTGGGAAATAGAAAAACACAAGTGCTAATATTATGAATAATAAAGTTGAGACAAAGATGCAATCAAGAGATGGGCCAACATTGTTAATCTTCAGCGAGAATAAGATACTTACTAGACTTAAGTTGTTGACTGTTTGTTAAATTGACAAGGAAAGTGTGAAATGTTGGCACTACATCATTGAAACACATATCAGAAAGAAAAGGTGAAGGGTTAGAGGAAATGAAGTAATGTAATTTATGACTTAAGAATGAACAAAAAAATTTTCCAATGATCCATGTGACAGGAGAAACTCACACTATGTGGAGTTGTTGATAGGGAAATAGCTTGTTACATAAGAGATGGTGTATAAAACATAAATACTAAACTAAACCAAGTCAACTATTATTTAAACCTTAAAACTCAGCTCAAATATTACATTCACTTATTCCTGCAGAAAACAGTAGTTGTTCCTGCCTAGGCTGCTGGCTTCTATAGCATGTTGAATAGTAGTTATCTTCATGTATTGTTTTTCTCTATTATAATGAGATTCTACAGATGAAAGCTTTCTCTTTCTAGGTGTCTCTGTCTGGCACACAGTAGGTGGTCAAGAAGGATTTTTAAAAATACATGAATAAAAATCAGGTTATGAGTTCTCTAAGTTCTTTAAATTTGGCCATGTAACCCTTACATCATAGATAAATTTACACAGTTGATGGCAACGAAATACATAGAGAGCTTCACATTGAAACACAAAACGGAGCCAGGCATGGTGGCTCACTTTGGGAGGCTGAGGTGGACAGATCACGAGGTCAGGAGTTCGAGACCAGCCTGGCCAACATGGAGAAACCCCATCTCTACTAAAAATACAAAATTAGCTGGGCATAGTAGCGGGTGCCTGTAACCCCAGCTACTCAGGAGGCTGAGGCAGGAGAATCGTTTGAACCCAGGAGGCGGAGGTTGCAGTGAGCTGAGATCATGCCATTGCACTCCAGCCTGGGCGACAGGGCAAGACTCTGTCTCAAAAAAAAAAAAAAAAAAAAAAGAATTACAAAAGAGAGAGTGGTTCTTGGAAAGAAGGCCAAAGAAAGAAAGAAAGCTTATGCGCCCTCCTCAATTAAATTGGCTTTCAACTAGAGGAAAAGTAAAACAGCTCTAACACAGTAGGTCCTATTAAAGATTGAATATGGAAGAACTCTAAAATTATAGCCAAACAGAAGCCAAAAACAGAACACCAAATAGCCTGTGACTCTCTTAGGGAAATCAGGTGGCTACTCTGGGTCAAACAGGGGGTGCTAACCTTGCACCCTTTGCTGAAGGACCTTGAGAGCATCATCCTCTAGGGGCTCAGAAAACAATGCCCCAAAATGAAGGCCTCAGAAGCAAACATTTCCTGACCTTGTCCTGCTCTCCAATTTTTCAGTCCCATTCTCCCCCATAGATAGCCATAGAAACTAGGATCCCTCTTCCCCAGGGTAGGTCATAGAAATCAGAACCCATTTTGCCAAAGTCAGCCATAAAACCTAAAAATATTACTCTAACTTCCTGCTGCTCCAGCCTTTCTGTGTAAAAACTTGCCATAAAGAAATTATCTGACTTACCTTGTTTGACTGTAGGTCATCAGACCCCCATTTCAGAGAGAGAACTGCCTCATACCAGTAGGAAAAAATGCATGCTTAGAGAGCCAAGAGAATAGAGACAGACAAGCCTCACTGGGTTTCCCCACTCAGTCTGCCAGCATTAAATCATACACTTTTTGTCAAATCATATCTCTACATGGCTCTCTGTACTAAGCATAAAAATGGACAATTTCTCCTGTATCGTCTCATGTGTATACATGTTAAACAAATTTGTATGACATTTCTGCAATTAATCTGCCTTTTAGGGTCCATTTTTCAGTAAACCTTCAGACTTGGCCCCTACTACACCCAAATCACCACCCAGGGAAGTCACAATAGCGATTGTGTCAGCAACAAAATTAATGGCCAGCAGATCAAAGTGTGAGGGGAAAAAAAAGAAAAAAAAAGCTTTAGACAGGCCTGACATTTCATACAATACAACTTTAATCCCCTTTAATATCATCTAATAAAAAGAAGAGATCCACAAAAGACAAAGTAAAAATGGTACAAAACAGATTAACATGAGAATTAGAGAATCCCTATTGCAAATCTCATCTTTCATTTTTCCTCAGTGTTCCTATCCAAAAGTATAACTTAATGAAAGCAGAACCTTTAGACCAATATTCATGTGAGGGTTTTTAGTAAATACTAGGACATTTATAATACTTTCTCATTGTAGCATTTGCAAAGGAAAGGAAAGGTTGAGAGAAAAAGAGAGGAGTTGGGCAGAGGGTTGAGAGAAAGAGGGAAAAGAGAAAGACAGAAAAGGTTGGTAAGAAAAGGAAAGGGAAGGGGAAGGGAGGTTGGTTGAAAGAGAAAGATGGAGGGCATTGAGAAAGAAGGATTGAGAGAGGGAAGGAGGATGAGAATTTGGAAGAGTATAAGAGATTGGGGAGAGGGAGAAAAGAAAGGAGAAGAGGGAGGTTGTTAATTGAAAAAAAAGTAGAGGGATTGAGAAAGAAAAAGTGATTAACAGAGGTGAAAAGGGAGAGATGGATTGAGAAGTTGAAAGAGTGTAAGAAGTCCAGAGAGATGGGGTTAGGGAGGGGGAATGTAAAAGGGAACAGGAGGTGGGGAAGAGAGAGAAAAGAGGTTGAAGGAAAGGAAGAGAGGTTAAAAGAGAAAGAGAGTGAGAAAAGAGGGAAGTTTTATTTTCTAATACCATTACAGAAATATTTTGTGCTCATATTTGACTTCCAACTTTTAAATCAAGGTTCATTAGACAAAGATTATTAACCAGTTTCAATGAAGCCTCAGTTACCTCCAGCCTTAAATACAGACAGAAATATTTGGGAAACATACCATTTTGTTCGAGAGTTAAGGATTCCTAATTTAAGTATATAAGCTTTTTGACTTTAATTTTGAAGAGCAAAATTTTCATAATGTGGATGTACTAAAGCTAACATCTTGATGTATTATTGTAATTACAATTATTAGGCTGAATCATATAAAGTAGCTAATTTTCAAACTTTTTAATCTACAGAAATGGCAGCTTAATAATTCAAACTTTTATAATTTAATCACAATATTGAGTTCTATAGGAAAGAAATCCTGAATATTATGCTTTTCAAAGTTGTTTGAATATATATATGTAAATTTTCTATTTCCTTATGAATTGCTGTGTCATTTGATAATCAATGTGTTTACCTAAAGCTGAACCATACGCCCTTTTGGAATGCTGCATTCTTAGAAACCAAATGATACATTTTGGTGCAATGTGTAAAATAAGAAAAAAAAGTTGCCTCAGGCTCCTATTCATTTTATATTGCAGATTTCTGTGACAGACTTTGGCATCTAGACTTCTGGCTCAGGGACCTTCCTCAGTTCCTCCCTGATTCTTGGCTACAGCTTAGAGGGGTAGGGGGATTGAGACAACCTGAGTCTCAGATAAATTAAATACCTTATAAACAAATGAAATATCCTAAAATGTTAAGGTCAATTGACGTGCCTGATAAATAATCTCTTAAATGTCCACTGCTCATCACAATTGTGAAACTGGCAGGGACCTTTCCTATCTATTTGTGCTCACAGCAGTTTCTGGCCTGTATCCCTGTGAGTAAAGTTAAGAATTATATGGATTTAATAATATTGCCCTTCTGATCTTCCAGTGTTTGCCAAAGTAGAAAAAAACAGTACAATTGTATATAATGGTATTCAAAATATACAGCATACACATGGTATGCAAGATATGAATTGAATGATTCAAACTGTAAGTTCCCAGGAGGCATGAAACAACATTAACTTTCTGTGACCAATGTTTAATATTGAATGTACAAACACACCAACACCAACCTCTGCAATGATAATGATGGGCGGAAGTGACACTGAATATTTCAGCACTGAAAAGACATTCATTTTTCAGGTGTACTGTTATGCATTTCTTTTCCCATTTGTAATCACAGTTGTACCACACTGCTCTTTCAGTGATCTCACTTCTCCTCTAGTGGCAGATGTGATCCAATCCCTGCAGGCAGAAATTCTTGTGAAGGTGGTGCAGTGGGATGGCAGTGACTGCTGCCTCAGCTCACAATGTCAACAAGCTTGTACTTCCCATGCCGGGCACATTGCGGTGGTCTTCCAGAATCTCCCTGCAACCAGCAAAAAGAGAAGTTCTCCCAAATGCCTGATTCCTGGCCGACATTAACCCCAACTGCAGAGGATGGTCAGGCAGGGCACAGGTTGTTCTCTTTATCTCGCTGATTTCTGCTCACAACCTAATAGAAAACTATGGCCACTCAGGTAGTGGGCTGATGCAACAGATCTCTGAACTGGATTAAAATCTATACCTTCAAGGAGAGACTGAAAGATAAGTTAGTGTAAATTCACTTAATGCTGACTGTAGACTCTGCCATGAAGAAACTTTCAAGCATCTATATAAATGGCCAGGTGATGGTTTTCAGTGACATGAAAACTCCTTTATGTTTTCAGTGTTACTAGAAGTAGGTGCATTAAGCCACCTAATTCAGCTATGCAGCTGAATCATAAGAAATGATCAGCCGGGCGCGGTGGGTCACGCCTGTAATTCCAGCACTTTGGGAGGCTGAGGCAGGCGAACCACGAGGTCAGAAGTTCGAGACCAGTCTGGCCAACATAGGGAAACCCCGTTGCTACTAAAAATGCAAAAAATTAGCTGGGTGTGGTGGTGTGTGCCTGTAATTCCAGCTACTCGGGACGCTGAGGCAGGAGAATCACGTGAACCCAGGAGGCGGAGGTTGCAGTGAGCTGAGATGGCACCATTGTACTCCAGCCCAGGAGATAGTGCAACACTCCACCTCAAAAAAAAAAAAAAAAAAAAAAAAAAAAAAAAAAACAAAAGAAATGATCATGTTTGTAGGTCAAAAACCATTGAATATCAGCAATTACACATAATTCATCCAAGTATTGACTAATTCCTTTTGAGAACTGAGTTCACTTCAACTATCAAATTACTAATTACGGTTCATTTGTTTTTAAGGTAACTTAACAATGTATTTATTCTTCTTGCCTTTCTTTTTAAAACTACCATGCATCTATACCTCTTTATGAATCAGCAAATGCCAGTTTGTGAGACATACTAAAAAGAAAACTCCCAGACTCATCAATGCAATCCTTGAATTACCATGCAGGAAGATGATCCTGCAGCTCTTCTGAATATATTGGTGTTTTTAAATATCCATACCCTGGTAGCTTTGCCAAGAGGTACCTTTGCCTGTTATACCATGTTAGAAAATTCATCCTCTAGCACAAAAAGAATAAAAATACATATAAACCTAGGCAAATGCTTTTAAAGGCTAAAACACGGATTGCAGACTCTTAGGGGTAAATCCCACCATTTTTCTCTCTGACGCTGTAATGATGTTGTTAGGTGATTTGTAAAGACCTAATATTATTCTACTTTAGCTTATACAACAGAAACTCCAAAAACTATTTTGTATGGATTCTTTTTATCTTCACTACGGTTCTAGGATGAGAGAAAAATAATATCACTTCATAGAAGGAAAAAGTTTAGAACCAAATCAGTTTTTGATGATGCAATCAGTACAATTCATTTTTAAATGTTAAGCCTATACTTGATTCCCTTGGTTTCATTGTGATCTCATTCTTTTGACTTGACTTTGCCGAATAAACATAATGTTTAGAGGTTGACAATGGAAACGACATTCTGATTTACTCTAGTCTATTGGATATTTGTAACTTGTTAACTCAGTTGTACAATACAGTAGGAGTGAAACCAAACTCATGGGTTGACCTTCACATGGGCTAGTTATTTTCACATAATCTTTTCCACCCATTTACCATTCATACCAATCCATCATTTCAGAAAAATGCCTCACATCATTAGAAATTGGCTGATACCTTCAAGTATGAGTTTTCACTGTTATAAAAACAATTGTGTATGTGTGTCTGAGTTTGTGTATGTTTAGAGTACAATTGGAGAGTAATTACATAGAAATGAGACTTACAAATATTAGGTAATAAAATCACTAGATATTCTTCAATACATGTTTTTATAAGTATCAATAAACTGGTATTCATGAATATAATGACCTAAAACCCAGGAAGTCACCTTTATTTTATTTATTTATTTATTTTTATTATTATACTTTAAGTTTTAGGGTACATGTGCACAATGTGCAGGTTAATTACATACGTATACATGTGCCATGCTGCTGCGCTGCACCCACTAACTTGTCATCTAGCATTAGGTATATCTCCCAATGCTATCCCTCCCCTCCAACCCCACAACAGTCCCCAGAGTGTGATGTTCCCCTTCCTGTGTCCATATGTTCTCATTGTTCAGTTCCCACCTATGAGTGAGAATATACGGTGTTTGGTTTTTTGTTCTTGTGATAGTTTACTGAGAATGATGATTTCCAGTTTCATCCATGTCCCTACAAAGGACATGAACTCATCATTTTTTATGGCTGCATAGTATTCCATGGTGTATATGTGCCACATTTTCTTAATCCAGTCTATCATTGTTGGACATTTGGGTTGGTTCCAAGTCTTTGCTATTGTGAATAGTGCCGCAATAAACATACGTGTGCATGTGTCTTTATAGCAGCATGATTTATAGTCCTTTGGGTATATACCCAGTAATGGGATGGCTGGGTCAAATGGTATTTCTAGTTCTAGATCCCTGAGGAATCGCCACACTGACTTCCACAATGGTTGAACTAGTTTACAGTCCCACCAACAGTGTAAAAGTGTTCCTATTTCTCCACATCCTCTCCAGCACCTGTTGTTTCCTGACTTTTTAATGATTGCCATTCTAACTGGTGTGAGATGGTATCTCGTTGTGGTTTTGATTTGCGTTTCTCTGATGGCCAGTGATGATGAGTATTTTTTCATGTGTTTTTTGGCTGCATAAATGTCTTCTTTTGAGAAGTGTCTGTTCATGTCCTTCGCCCACTTCTTGATGGGGTTGTTTGTTTTTTTCTTGTAAATTTGTTTGAGTTCATTGTAGATTCTGGATATTAGCCCTTTGTCAGATGAGTAGGTTGCGAAAATTTTCTCCCATTTTGTGGGTTGCCTGTTCACTCTGATGGTAGTTTCTTTCGCTGTGCAGAAGCTCTTTAGTTTAATTAGATCCCATTCGTCAATTTTGGCTTTTGTTGCCATTGCTTTTGGTGTTTCAGACATGAAGTCCTTGCCCATGCCTATGTACTGAATGGTATTGCCTAGGTTTTCTTCTAGGGTTTTTATGGTTTTAGCTCTAATGTGTAAGTCTTTAATCCATCTTGAATTAATTTTTGTATAAGGTGTAAGGAAGGGATCCAGTTTCAGCTTTCTCCATATGGCTAGCCAGTTTTCCCAGCACCATTTATTAAATAGGGAATCCGTTCCCCATTGCTTGTTTTTGTCAGGTTTGTCAAAGATCAGATAGTTGTAGATATGCAGCATTGTTTCTGAGGGCTCTGTTCTGTTCCATTGGTCTCTATCTCTGTTTTGGTGCCAGTACCATGCTGTTTTGGTTACTGTAGCCTTGTAGTATAGTTTGAAGTCAGGTAGTGTGATGCCTCCAGCTTTGTTCTTTTGGTTTAGGATTGACTTGGCTATGCGGGCTCTTTTTTGGTTCCATATGAACTTTAAAGTAGTTTTTTCCAATTCTGTGAAGAAAGTCATTAGTAGCTTGATGGGGATGGCATTGAATCTATAAATTACCTTGGGCAGTGTGGCCATTTTCAAGATATTGATTCTTCCTACCCATGAGCATGGAATGTTCTTCCATTTGTTTGTATCCTCTTTTATTTCCTTGAGCAGTGGTTTGTAGTTCTCCTTGAAGAGGTCCTTCACATCCCTTGTAAGTTGGATTCCTAGGTATTTTATTCTCTTTAAAGCAGTTGTGAATGGGAGTTCACTCATGATTTGGCTCTCTGTTTGTCTGTTATTGGTGTATAAGAATGCTTGTGATTTTTGTACATTGATTTTGTATCCTGAGACTTTGCTGAAGTTGCTTATCAGCTTAAGGAGATTTTGGGCTGAGACAATGGGGTTTTCTAGATATACAATCATGTTGTCTGCAAACAGGGACAATTTGACTTCCTCTTTTCCTAATTGAATACCCTTTATTTCCTTCTCCTACCTAATTGCCCTGGCCAGAACTTCCAACACTGTGTTGAATAGGAGTGGTGAGAGAGGACATCCCTGTCTTGTGCCAGTTTTCAAAGGGAATGCTTCCAGTTTTTGCCCATTCAGTATGATATTGGCTGTGGGTTTGTCATAGATAGCTCTTATTATTTTGAGATACATCCCATCAATACCTAATTTATTGAGAGTTTTTAGCATGAAGGGTTGTTGAATTTTGTCAAAGGCCTTTTCTGCATCTATTGAGATAATCATGTGGTTTTTGTCTTTGGTTCTGTTTATATGCTGGATTACATTTATTGATTTGCATATATTGAACCAGCCTTGCATCCCAGGGATGAAGCCCACTTGATCATGGTGGATAAGCTTTTTGATGTGCTGCTGGATTCGGTTTGCCAGTATTTTATTGAGGATTTTTGCATCAATGTTCATCAAGGATATTGGTCTAAAATTCTCTTTTTTTGTTGTGTCTCTGCCAGGCTTTGGTATCAGGATGATGCTGGCCTCATAACATGAGTTAGGGAGGATTCCCTCTTTTTCTATTGATTGGAATAGTTTCAGAAGGAATGGTACCAGTTCCTCCTTGTACCTCCAGTAGAATTTGGCTGTGAATCCATCTGGTCCTGGACTCTTTTTGGTTGGTAAGCTATTGATTATTGCCACAATTTCAGCTCCTGTTATTGGTCTATTCAGAGATTCAACTTCTTCCTGGTTTAGTCTTGGGAGAGTGTATGTGTCGAGGAATTTATCCATTTCTTCTAAATTTTCTAGTTTATTTGCGTAGAGGTGTTTGTAGTAATCTCTGATGGTAGTTTGTATTTCTGTGGGATCCGTGGTGATATCCCCTTTATCATTTTTTATTGCGTCTATTTGATTCTTCTCTCTTTTTTCTTTATTAGTCTTGCTAGCGGTCTATCAAATTTGTTGATCCTTTCAAAAAACCAGCTCCTGGATTCATTAATGTTTTGAAGGGTTTTTTGTGTTTCTATTTCCTTCAGTTCTGCTCTATTTTTAGTTATTTCTTGCCTTCTGCTAGCTTTTGAATGTATTTGCTCTTACTTTTCTAGTTCTTTTAATTGTGATGTTAGGGTGTCAATTTTGGATCTTTCCTGCTTTCTCTTGTGGGCATTTAGTGCTATAAATTTCCCTCTACACACTGCTTTGAATGTGTCCCAGAGATTCTGGTATGTTGTGTCTTTGTTCTCATTGGTTTCAGAGAACATCTTTATTTCTGCCTTCATTTCGTTATGTACCCAGTAGTCATTCAGGAGCAGGTTGTTCAGTTTCTCTGTAGTTGAGTGGTTTTGAGTGAGTTTCTTAATCCTGAGTTCTAGTTTGATTGCACTGTGGTCTGAGAGAGAGTTTGTTATAATTTCTGTTCCTTTACATTTGCTGAGGAGAGCTTTACTTCCAATTATGTTGTCAATTTTGGAATAGGTGTGGTGTGGTGCTGAAAAAAATGTATATTCTGTTGATTTGGGGTGGAGAGTTCTGTAGATGTCTATGAGGTCTGCTTGGTGCAGAGCTGAGTTCAATTCCTGGGTATCCTTGTCAACTTTCTGTCTCATCGATCTGTCTACTGTTGACAGTGGGGTGTTAAAGTCTCCCATTATTGGTGTGTGGGAGTCTAAGTTTCTTTGTAGGTCACTCAGGACTTGCTTTATGAATCTGGGTGCTCCTGTATTGGGTGCGTATATATTTAGGGCAATTAGCTCTTCTTGTTGAATTGATCCCTTTACCATTATGTAATGGCCTTTTTTGTCTCTTTTGATCTTTGTTGGTTTAAAGTCTGTTTTATCAGAGACTAGGATTGCAACCCCTGCCTTTTTTTGTTTTCCATTTGCTTGGTAGATCTTCCTCCATCCCTTTATTTTTGAGCCTATGTGTGTCTCTGCGTGTGAGATGGGTTTCCTGAATACAGCACACTGATGGGTCTTGACTCTTTATCCAATTTGCCAGTCTTTGTCTTTTAATTGGAGCATTTAGTCCATTTATATTTAAAGTTAATATTTTTATGTGTGAATTTGATCCTGTCATTATGATGTTAGCTGGTTATTTTGCTCGTTAGTTGATGCAGTTTCTTCCTAGTCTTGATGGTCTTTACATTTTGGCATGATTTTGCAGCGGCTGATACCGGTTGTTCCTTTCCATGTTTAGTGCTTCCTTCAGGAGCTCTTTTAGGTCAGGGCTGGTGGTGACAAAATCTGTCAGCATTTGCTTGTCTGTAAAGTATTTTATTTCTCCTTCACTCATGAAGCTTAGTTTGGCTGGATATGAAATTTCTGGGTTGAAAGTTCTTTTCTTTAAGAATGTTGAATATTGGCCCCCACTCTCTTCTGGCTTGTAGAGTTTCTGCCGAGAGATCATCTGTTAGTCTGATGGGCTTCCCTTTGTGGGTAACCCGACCTTTCTCTCTGGCTGCCCTTAACATTTTTTCCTTCATTCCAACTTTGGTGAATCTGACAATTATGTTTCTTGGAGTTGCTCTTCTTGAGGAGTATCTTTGTGGTGTTCTCTGTATTTCCTGAATCTGAATGTTGGCCTGCGTTGCTAGATTGGGGAAGTTCTCCTGGATAATATCCTGCAGAGTGTTTTCCATCTTGGTTCCATTCTCCCCGTCACCTTCAGGTACACCAATCAGACATAGATTTGGTCTTTTCACATAGTCCCATATTTCTTGGAGGCTTAGTTTTTTTTATTCTTTTTTCTCTAAACTTCCCGTCTCACTTCATTTCATTCATTTCATCTTCCATCGCTGATACCCTTTCTTCCAGTTGATCGCATCAGCTCCTGAGGCTTCTGCATTCTTCCCGTAGTTCTCGAGCCTTGGCTTTCAGCTCCGTCAGCTCCTTTAAGCAATTCTCTGTATTGGTTATTCTAGTTATACATTCGTCTAAATTTTTTTCAAAGTTTTTAACTTCTTTGCCTTTGGTTTGAATTTCCTCCTGTAGCTCGTAGTTTGAGCATCTGAAGCCTTCTACTCTCAACTCGTCAAAGTCATTCTCCATCCAGCTTCGTTCCATTGCTGGTGAGGAACTGCGTTCCTTTGGAGGAGGAGAGGTGCTCTGCTTTTTAGAGTTTCCAGTTTTTCTGCTCTGTTTTTTCCCCATCTTTGTGGTTTTATCTACTTTTGGTCTTTGATGATGGGGATGTACAGATGGGTTTTTGGTGTGGATGTCCTTTCCGTTTGTTAGTTTTCCTTCTAACAGACAGGACTCTCAGCTGCAGGTCTGTTGGAGCTTGCTAGAGGTCCACTCCAGACCCTGTTTGCCTGGGTATCAGCAGCGGTGTTTGCAGAACAGCGGTTTTTCGTGAACCGTAAATTCTGCTGTCTGATCGTTCCTCTGGAAGTTTTGTCTCAGAGGAGTACCCGGCCGTGTGAAGTGTCAGTCTGCCCCTACTGGGGGGTGCCTCCTAGTTAGGCTGCTCAGGGGTCAGAGGTCAGGGACCCACTTGAGGAGGCAGTCTGCCTGTTCTCAGATATCCAGCTGCATGCTGGGAGAACCACTGCTCTCTTCAAAGCTGCCAGACAGGGACATTTCAGTCTGCAGAGGTTACTGCTGTCTTTTTGTTTGTCTGTGCCCTGCCCCCAGAGGTGGAGCCTACAGAGGCAGGCAGGCCTCCTTGAGCTGTGTTGGGCTCCACCCAGTTCAAGCTTCCCCGCTGCTTTATTTACCTAAGCAAGCCTGGGCAATGGCGGGCACCCCTCCCCCAGCCTCTCTGCCGCCTTGCTGTTTGATCTCAGACTGCTGTGCTAGCAATCAGCGAGACTCCATGGGCGTAGGACCCTCTGAGCCAGGTGCGGGATATAATCTCCTGGTGCGCCGTTTTTTAAGCCCGTTGGAAAAGCGCAGTACTTGGGCAGGAGTGACCCGATTTTCCAGGTGCCTTCTTTCACCCCTTTCTTTGACTAGAAAAGGGAACTCCCTGACTCCTTGCACTTCCCGAGTGAGGCAATGCCTCACTCTGCTTCGGCTCACGCACGGTGAGCTGCGCACGGTGAGCTGCACCCACTGACCCGCGCCCACTGTCTGGCACTCCCTAGTGAGATGAACCCGGTACCTCAGATGGAAATGCAGAAATCACCCGTCTTCTGCGTCACTCACGCTGGGAGCTGTAGACTGGAGCTGTTCCTATTCGGCCATCTTGGCTCCTCCCCAGGAAGTCACCTTTAGATCCATTATTTTAAAAGACTTTTCCCACCATTATTCGTATTAAAAATAGAGAAAAACTGAAAGTGAACAAACAGAGTACACTTAGATGTCACATATATTTGTTTGGATTCTAACATTGGAGGAGGTGGTACATATACTCACTGTGAAGTTCAGTTGTTCCCCATCCAGCAGTCATACATGTAAAGTCAATTTATTTTATCATCTTCCTCTGGCACCAGATTAGTAGTGAAAACTCTCCTAATTAAAAAGGACGTTAAAGAAAAAGGTAAATATCATTTAATCTATAGGATTGATGTTAATATTGTCTATGTTGTTTGCTCTTCAGTGACAGCTCTAGAAATAGCTACTTTGACTTAACAGTAACCCCTACTCTTTTGGAAACAAAGTCTCACGCTGTCATCCAGACTAGAGTGCAGTAGTGCAGTAGTAGCTCACTGTAGACTCTAACTCCTGGCTCAAATGATCCTGCCTCCTCCTAAGCCTACTAACTAACTAGTATAATACTACTGGCATGCACTATCACATCCAGCTAATTCTTTTTTTTTTTTTTTCTTTTGGAGATGAGATCTTGCCATTTTGCCTGAGCTGGTCTCAAACTCCTGGCCTCAAATGATCCTTTTGCCTCAGCCTCCCAAAGTGTTGAGATTATAGGTGTGAGCCCTGCACCTGGCAAACATTACTTTTTTAAATGCTGTGATTAAGTCTTCCAGAAAATACTATCTATTACTCAAAAGGGATCAGCCCAATTTATATGTTACCAGTTTGCTCCAGGTATTACCATATCCTCCCACGACAATAGGAACATATGCCCTACACTCAGATGTGAAGCTCTTGGTTTCTCATCCATAATCATTTTTTAAAAATACATCTGCCCTTTTTCCATGTGCCTCTAGGACATCACCTTGTTGAATCTGAAATGACAGTGGAGAAAATATAACTCTCTTCCTTCTTTGACTTCATCATGTGAGGAATGGGGAAGAATCACATTTGCAGTACTTTAAACTTTTCAAGTATTTTTATATCTAATACATATTTTTATATTTATTCTTTCTTCCCAGATGTATCATAAAATATATTGATATATTATGTATTTAAACATTCACATTTTTATCTTATCACCAAAATGTGTTTATATATAAACAATGTGCATTTATGTATGTGTCTGTGTGTATTACACACATACACACACACACACACACACATTGGTTTTCCCATGCTGTTTTATTATATTTTGATTTAGACGTTTACATACTTTAATGCTTCAGCCTATCTGCTATCCTGGATCATTTATTTCAATGATTTGTTCTTTTATTTTTACTGTTCTTAAAAAAATTGTATAAACTCTTTGAAGTATAAATTATTTTCCTTCTCACCTGCCTATGCACATCCAAATCTTTTACGTTATGCTGCCTTTGCAGATAATCATTGCTCTATCATTTCACTTTCTGCCAAATTTTCTTGAGCTAAACCGTTTTCCCTCTGCCAACATATGTTTTTTAACCAGCAGCTGGCTTTTCTCCTCTCTCTCTCTCTTTTTTTTTTTTTTTTTTTTTTGGAGTATTGCTCTGTCACCCAGGCTGGAGTGTAGTGGCACAATCTCGGCTGACTGCAACCTCTACCTCCACCTTCCAGGTTCAAGTGATTCTCCTGCCTCAGTCTCCCGAGTAGCTGGGATTACAGGAGCCCACCATTATGCCCTGCTAATTTTTGTATTTTTAGTATAGATGGTGTTTCACCATGTTGGCCAGGCTGGTCTTGAACTCCTGACCTCAGGTGATCCACCCCCCTCAGCCTCCCAAAGTGCTGGGATTACAGGCATAAGAGTGTCCAGCCTGCCAACTGCTTTTCTTATTCTGATTTTTTTCATTTACCAGATTATGATCACATCAACTCATATCATTCAGTTAATGAATGTATCACAATTGATTAAATCCCACTGATGAACATTTAGACTATTTTCTGTTTTTTGCTTAAGAGCTGCAGCAAGCATTCCAGAAAATAAATCTGTGCAGTTGTGCCATTATTCCTGGAAAGTAGAATTGCTGGGCCATGAAGCATGTACTTTAAAAACTAGCAACTATTGCTACATTGCCTGACTTTTGAAAAGACAAAAAAGGATGTATCAACTTACAGTCCACCCAACTATGTTTATAATTTAGAACTATGTCAAGAATCTTTAAAATATTTTTACCCTAAATCTAGCAATTCTACTTCTGGGAAGTTTATTTTAAGGCAATCCTAGACCTGGAAAAAAAAAATATATATACAAGGATAGTCAATCCAGCATTATTAAAATTTTTTTAAAAAGGAAACAATCCATTTTCATATGAATTGTGGAAAGGCTACCATGTATCCATTAAAATTAATTATATTTTAAAAGTCTTTAATATTATGAAGCAATGCTGACAATCATAAATGAAAATATACAATAAAATAAAACTTACAATAGGTATATTATTACAACTACTTAAATACAAACGACTAGTACAGGAAATACATGAAAGAAGTATGCCCAAATATTCACATAAAGGTAATGATGCTGGAAATTACAGGTGGGAAGTGTCTTGTCTTTAATGGGAAAAAAGTCATCTCTCACTCTTCCCAGTGGAAAGAAATGAATAGGTACAGTTATAGATAAGTTACTAAATTCTTAGAGGGAAGAGAAACAAAATCTTATGTTACTGTTGGTATCAGGTGGTGTTAAGTAGGAAGCACAGTCCTCGGAGAACAGGAAAAAGGATCAAGATAAGAAAGTAAGGAAAGAAGGGCTGAAAAGAAGGGGGAACGTTTGTAATGACGACTGTGGATATTAGAAGACAGAATCATGCAGGCATACACCCAAGGATTGCTAAATGGTATTGAAATTGGAAACCACAAGATTTTAAGGGCACTAAATATCACCACTGGTCTTTGTCTAAAAGAATGCTTCTTAACCTTGGCTGCACATTAAAATTTCCACGAGAAATTTATAAAATACCACTGCTAGGTTCAGGAAGGACCAGGATATAAGGTCAACACAAAGAAGTCAATCACATTTCATGTTGAACCCTAACAAAATACCATTTACAACCACAATGAAGACAATGCAATACTTAGGTATACACTTAGCAAAACAGGTACAAGATCTGTATGCTGAAAATTGCAAAATTCTGGAGATGGAAATCAAAGAAGATCTAAATAAGTGGAGAGACATATTGTTCATGGATTGGAAGACTCATATAGTAAATATGTGAATTCTCCCCAAACTGAGCTATAGCTTTAATGCAATTTCTATCAAAATCACAGCAAGGGCTGTTGTAGACATAGCAAGCTTATTTTAAAATTTATACGAGAAAGCACAGACCTTAGCATATCTAAAACAATCTTCACCAAGAATAAATTGGAAGAAATCACTTTTCCATATAAAGCCTACTATGTAGGTACAATAATATGTAGTAGTATGTGAAAGGATAGAAACATAGCTCAACAAAAAAAAAGATCCCAGAAATAAACCTACACAAATATGCTCACTTTATTTATGGCAAAGGCACAAAAGCAATTCAACAGATGGTGTTAGAGCAACTGGCTATCCCTTAGACCACAAAAAAAGCAAAAAAAAAAGGAAAAAGGAAAGGATAGAGAGAAAAAGAGAGAAAGGAACTTCAACCTAAACCTTACACATTATACAAAAATTAACTGGAAAGGATCATGAAATTAAATGTAAAAGTGTAAGGCTAAGGCTATAGAACTTTTAGGAAGAGCAAAGGAAAAAATCTAGGGATGGACAAAGAATACTTAGACTTGACACCAAAAGGAGAAGCTTTTTTTTTTGAACGGAGCAATTGGACTTCATCTAAATTAAAAGTTTTGCCTTGTGAAAGACTCTGTTAAGAGGATGAAGAGACAAGCTAAGACTGGGAGGAACATCTGCAAACCATGTATTTGACAAAGGATTAGTGGCTAGAATATATAAAGAATCCTCAAACTCCGCACAGTAAGAAAACAATTCAATTGGAAAATAGGCTAAAGATATGAAGGGGCTTGTCACTGAAGAGGTTAAAAAATATTAAGTAAGTAAATGAAACATTGTTAGATACCATTAGCCATTAGGCAAATACAATAAGATATCACTACCACTACACACCTATCAGAATGGCTAACATTTTTTTAAAAAAGAATGACAATGGCAAATGCTAGTGAGGATGCAGAAAAACTAGGTCACTCACACATTGCTGGTGGGAATATAAAATGGTAAAACTACCATGGAAAAACAGCTTAGTTTATTACAAAACTAAACATGCAATTTCCATATAACCCAGAAATTACACTCTTGGACATTTATCCCACCAAAATGAAAACACATGTCCACACAAAAACTTGTACACAAATTTCCACAGGAGCTGTATTTGTAATAGCCCAGAGCTGGAAACAACCTAGATATGCTTTGACAGAAGAACCATTAAACAAACTGTGGTACATTCATACCATGGAATGCTATTCATGTATTAAAAGGAATGAACTATCAAAAGGAAAGAACTATTGAACAAGCACAGTACAACTTGGATAAATCTCCAGGGGACTGTGCTGAGTGGAAAAAGTCAATCCCAAAAGGTTACATACTATGCAGCTCCATTGATTAAATACTCTTGAAATAACAAAATTCTAGAAATAGAGAATAGATTAGTGGTTGCCAGGGATCTGGGAAAGGGTGAAGTGGGTTTTGCTATAAAAGAGCAACACTTTGAGAGGCCAAGGCGGGTGGATCACCTGAGGTCAGGAGTTCGAGACCAACCTGACAAACCTGACCAATATGGTGAAACCCCATCTCTACTAAAAATACAAAAACTTAGCCAGGCATGGTGGCATGCACCTGTAGTCTCAGCTACTCGGGAGGCTGAGACAGGAGAATTGCTTGAACCCTGGAGGTAGAGGTTGCAGTGAGCCAAGATTGTGCCACTGCACTCCAGCCTGGGTGACAGAAACACTCCGTCTCAAAAAAAAAAAAAAAAAAAAAAAAGGCAACACTAGGAATCCTTGGGGTGATTGATAGAAATGTTCTATATCTTGATTGTATCAATATCCTATAAGATATTATCAGTGGGGGAAACTAGGTAAAGAGTATATTGGGTGCCTGTACTATTTCTTAAACTGCATGTAAATCTAAAATTATTTCAATATAAGTTTAATTAACATCAAATGCATAAAGCAAGATAAGGAGGGGGTAAATGCTGATGCCAACTCTCTATCCCTGAGATTGTGACTTAATTTGTCCAAAATGCAACCTGGCCTACAAGTGTGTGTGTGTGTGTGTGTGTGTGTGTGTGTGTCTGTGTCTGTGTGTGTTTTAAGCAACCCAGAGATTACACTGTACAGCCAAGATTAAGAAGCACTGTTCTAAACGTTCTTGCTGACTTGGTTATAAAAGAACAGAAAGCAAATGATGGGCTATGATTAATGGTTTGCAGGATGGAAGCATTGAAAAGACAGCAAAAGGGAGGTGAAGCTACTGGCAGAGGAACAGTTAAAGAATGTAGAAACTGGTTACAGACCCCTGTGTGTCCATGGAAAGGCATGGGCTTGAGAGTGGAGAAGTCTTAGTTACAGTTCCCGCAGTATGTTTTCTCACTGAATGTTCACCTGTGCTAAGTAGGTGGGCAGGGTACTGTTATTCCTTTCTATTAATAATAAAGCTGAGGCACAGGAAAGCTAAATAACCTGCCCAAGATTGCATGACTACTACATGACAGAGCCAGAGTAACAATTCCTCACCCAGTTTTCACATTAGCTTTAGTTTCAGTAACCATTAAGCAAGAAGAGGATTTTACTAGGTCATGAAAGTATAGAAAATTGAACATCTCATGCTTCAAATTCCTAAGTATTTGGAGTAACTTCATAGGAAAAGAATCAAAATTAAAAATTAATTTCTTTGAAATCTTCTGTAGACCTCCATCAATTAAAAACCCATGAAAGTATGTGTTTATACAGATACTTCAACTTTTAGAGAAAGTGGCATAAATATAAGGAAGTTTTGAAATAATTATTTAACTTCAGAAGTATGTGTAGCACTTCTCAGCAAGATGAAAGATATTAAGCTGTATGGCAAAGGTTCAAAATATAGAAGAGTTACCCATACAGACCAAATTCAATACGTTTTTCCAGATGCAACAGTATAGATCATCATGAGGACAAAACTGTGAAAAGCCAAGGTGAGTATAGAGAGGTTTCACTGGTATCAAATCACTGCTTCCCATGTTCCAGAGGTAACTTCTTTCTGTTACCAGGTTGTCTGTGACAGTATTTGTCATAAGGGAGTGAGGAAATAGACATTTCTTTTAATGAGGTCATAGTCATTTTTCATAATTACTAAAAATATATTATTTTACATTTCTCTTTGTTCTTTTTAGAATTAGAGATATGGTATTGCACTATCACCAATCTGGAGTACACAGGTATAATCATAGCTCACTGCAGCCTCAAACTCTGGGCTCACGTGATTCTGTCTTCAGCCTCCTGATTTGCTGGGACTACAAGCCCACACCACTATGCCCAGCTAATTTTTTTTAGTTTTTTGTAGAGATGGAGGTCTTACTATGTTGCCCAGGCTGATCTCAAACTCCCAGCCCAAAGTGATCCTCATGTCTTCATTTCCCAAAGTGCTAGGATTACAGGTGTGAACCACCATGCCCAGTCTACATTTCTAATCTATATTAAAAATTTTATTGTCTTGAATTCTTGGAAAATAGGGATTTCTCTTAATAACTTTAATCCCTGAGAAAAATTTTAATGTATATATTTTCTTTCCTCCATAATACTAAACAAAGTATGATTTTTTTTTTTTGAGATGGAATCTCATTCTGTCACCCAGGCTGGAGTGCAGTGGCACAATTTGGGATCACTGCAAGCTCCGCCTCCCAGGTTCATGCCATTCTCCTGCCTCAGCCTCCCGAGTAGCTGGGACTACAGGTGCCCGCCACCATGCCCGGCTAATTTTTTTTTTTTTTAATTTTTAGTAGAGACAGGGTTTCACCGTGTTAGCCAGGATGGTCTCGATCTCCTGACCTCATGATCCACCTGCCTTGGCCTCTCGAAGTGCTGGGATTACAGGCATGAGCCACTGCGCCTGGCCAACGAAATATGATTTTTAAGATGCATGATGCCTCAAGATAATGATTCTGTGCATTATTACAATTATAATAATAGATGTTATACACTTATATAATGGCCTCTGAAAGATATTCTGAAAGTTATATTTACTCCCTGTAAAATGGTTTTCAAAGAAGTGTCTAGGAACTATGCATTAAGTCTGGCATTGCCTTAAAAATTTAGAATCTGATGTAACTCATCAAATCAAAACTCAAAATTATGATTCTAAAATTTGATTGCAAACTCCCCAAACAGTTTTGAACACATGAAAGTCTGAAAATTGCCTTATAAGGATGACTTCTTGAGATTTACCTATTCAAGAGTAAAGTTGGGGGATGATAAAGAAAATGAGGTTTTGATTCACTGAAGGGTCCTGCTCACCAAGTTATTTGAGCAGATAGAAGGAACTGCTACTTTGAAGACACTGAAAACATTATATTTAATCATTTGGCTATGGGACATCATGTGATGTTCTCAACCATCTCACTACTTCTGGGAGACCAATATTAGAAATATCAGAATTTTAGTACTGAGCAACCTTTAAACTGAGGAAGGAATTTTCAGATAATGTCTCAATATCACATGGAAACAAGATTCAGATGAAATCAAAGAAAAAATTTTCTTTCCAAGAGCATTCTTTAAAATTTTTCAGAACTTTCTATATTTATTTTGGGAGCAGGTATGATGATCAGTCAGTAGAGGAGAGCAAGGAGGAAGGAGACCCACCGTTTAGCAACTCCAGTGCTCTAGGTGATATGTTCAGAAGCTGATGCACACATGTTAAGACATCATTATCTCCATTTTATAGATGAGGAAAGAGAGGGCAGCATTGTTAGTCACTTATTTTAAAAAGAGCTGGAAGGAAAAAGCAGCTTTTTTTTTTTTTTTTTTTTTTTTTTTTTTTTTTTTTTTTTTTTTGAGACGGAGTCTCGCTCTGTCGCCCAGGCCGGACTGCGGACTGCAGTGGCGCAATCTCGGCTCACTGCAAGCTCCGCTTCCCGGGTTCACGCCATTCTCCTGCCTCAGCCTCCCGAGTAGCTGGGACTACAGGCGCCCGCCACCGCGCCCGGCTAATTTTTTGTATTTTTAGTAGAGACGGGTTTCACCTTGTTAGCCAGGATGGTCTCGATCTCCTGACCTCATGATCCACCCGCCTCGGCCTCCCAAAGTGCTGGGATTACAGGCGTGAGCCACCGCGCCCGGCCAAAAGCAGCTTTTAAAATGAAAAACTATTAGTGGTATGTGTATTGTTGAAGGACAGAAAGTTTCATTCACCTAATATGTTCATTGATTTGCAAGGTGAAGACTATATCAGCGGGAGCATAAACTTTAATGTTTCTTGTGACATAGGGAGAGCAGATGGGTACACCCATTGTGAGCCCTTGAACAAGCAGTCTCAGAGACCCTGCACCACAGGCACAGGCACAGACCTAAAGTTAGAATGCACTGCTGCCAGGACCCACTGTTTTGTGGCCAGGGAGCCTCTATAATAATGTTGTCTGGGTGCTGCAGACTAACTAGCCAGGGCCATGACATTGCAGATGCAGCACAGCTACCAACCAACCTAGGCTCTCCAAGCATGGCTGGCAGCACATTTGTATTTCTGTCCGAATTTTCCATTCGAAATTGGTCAACAGCTGGAATGCTACGTTTGTCTTGGGTTGGCCAACTTCCTGTATTGTTTTCTATTGTTATCCCTTAGAAAAGTAATAACAAAACATTATATAAAAGTAATTATAAAAGTCTATTAAAATTTCAGAATGGAGGCATTTCTTAGGTTCAAAACTAGGATTCTGATCAAGAGATGAGACTTACCTTTTCTTGCACTGCTTTTAAAATAAGAAGATCAATAAAGTTAACTAAAATATTAATATATGCATCTTTAGGATACTCAAAACATAAAACTGATTTTTAAAATAAAAATATTGCATCTAATCATGAAATTATTGGTCATTGTTCTTTCTGTGGCATTATTTGTGTTATTCCAGTGTAACAGATATCTAGACTTATCAAAACACTTTACACTACACGTATTCAAAATACAACATATATATAAAGAACACATATAAGGAAAATTTCCAGCACTGTGTTTATTCCATTCTCAAATTTAAAAAGAAATTCTCCAGGAAATAATTTTAGTAACTAAAAACCAAGAGATGTTTTTAAGTATGAATTTTCTTAAATATACACAAAAATTTGAGAATTAGGATATGTGCTTATTTATATAATTATTTACTGGAGATTTCTATTTCATACCAGACATGTATTTAAAACAAAAAGTTTCTAGCACAGTGGATTTGTGTTGTTTATTCAATATTATGTTAAAACTCATTTCTACTTCCTTTTCAGATATGTATAAAACATCAATTCTCTTCTCCTTTTAAATATATATGCCAAAATCATGCAAACTCCTCAAAAGACTATCCAAGATCTTAGGAAAAAAAGTTGTTTACTCAAAACTGTTTTCACTGCATTAAGGTTTAAGGGTGGATTTTAATCCACATTATATGCTCAGTCTTAGACCTTTGGGCTGTTTGTACACATGTGTAACAGCAATATTTTATTAGTATCCAACCTGCAAAAAAGGAAGACTTAAAGAAATGAGGCAATAGAAATATTTTTACTGTGAGAATGAAGGGTCAATTTAGAGATGAAATATGGAAGGATAAAAGCAATGGAGACAGAAAGGTCAATTAGATGAGCATCCCTTAAACTATTCAAAGTCTCACCTACAGAATGATGAGGCTCAAATCAAGGACTCTTCAAAGAGCCCATTCATTCCCCTGTCTTAAAAAAGACAAAGTGATGTCAAGAAGGACATTTCACTGAAGGTTGGTCATTAGAATTCCACCTGAATTACACTCTAATCAAGAGGACCTCCTACTAACAAATTAATTAGGTTTTTAATTGATGGTATGTGTATTGTTGAAGGACAGAAAGTTTCATTCACCTAATATGTTCATTCATTTGCAAGATGAAGACTATATCAGTGGGAGCATAAACTAACAAATTAATTAGGTTTTTAAATCTTAAGCACAACTGATGAAATTATGGCTTAAAAGTAGATTGGATAAGTAGAAAATCATTAAGTTTGTTTCTATTTTATTCAGAGAAGTTAGTACATGTTCAGCTAATCTATTCTCTTCTGGGAACTTTATGAGGGTGAGGGGTAGCTACTTGGTAGAAGAGATATGGTAAGAGAGACATGGAAATACAATGAACTCTGTTTTGGCTTGAATGTCCCCACTGGGTCATTTAAATAGCAAATGACTGACTTTCGTGTTTATCATTATTTCTTAAAAATAATAAACGCACATACACAAATTAACTTTATTACCTCAGATGATTCATTTGGAACTACCAGTATTATGCCTTAAGGAATGGTTTGAAATGAAGATATCCTTTTCTTTTTTTAGTAGGGAGACTACTAGTGACCCTTAAACCAATGGGCTGCAGGTTCTACTTCAAAGCTTATGCAGTATCTGCTTTAATAAACATTTTAATGCAATTACTTACCACTGATAGGAAATTGGGTCTCAATATTGCTCTTCTGTGATTGCTCCTGAATCATCTCTTCTAAAATAAGCTTAAAACCTCTTTCTCTCAGACTCATCAGTCTTAAAATGCACAGTCAGGTAAGCAGCACTGGATATCAAGATAAACTCTTTCTTGGAGCCATGTAAATGAGCTGCAATGAAAGACATATTCGATAATTAAAGTACTTTTTCTGTGCAATGACATAACTGAAAGAGGACAAAGAGGTAACATTAAATTCCAAACTGTTGATATTAACAAAAGAATGATTGTCAGGAATACAAGATCAAGATTTGTAGGATGGAACTCATGATTTGAGTGCCACAATGGAAGAGTATAGCTTTTAAAAGATCAAAGGGAAAGACCTGATAGAAAAAATGGTACACACTTGTATGGCAATCTGTTATCCTAAGGATGGGAGGAAAAAAGGGCATTTGCGCGAAGATAACTAGACAGAGACACAAAAGTAATGGGACAATCTGCTCTAAAACACAATAATGATTCTTTTAAAATTCAGAAACACAGAAGTTGGCACAAAGGTGGTCCTGATAGTAACAGGACATTTGCTGTACATTTAAGTTCTCCTAAAATAAAACAATGAAACACTATTGATTTGTCTTCATGATAACGGTATCTCAGAAATCCGAGAAAGAAAGGAGGGGAGTAGTTAATCTCTACATCGTCCTTATCCTCAAAGCAGCTCTATCTGGTGGAATGGAAGTGATGGGGAACCTTGGAGATGCTTTCATGTCAAGTAAAGGGGTTCTGGGTAGAACCAACAAATAACCTGGAAGTTTTAAAATAATGGAAATGGGAAAATGCCGAGACCAGCTCGGTCGGGGAGACCCTAACCCAGCAGCGCTAGAGGAATTAAAGACACACACACACAGAAATATAGAGGTGTGGCGTGGGAAATCAGGGGTCTCACAGCCTTCAGAGCTGAGAGCCTCAAACAGAGATTTACTCACGTATTTATTAACAGCAAGCCAGTGATAAGCATTGTTTCTATAGATTATAGATTAACTAAAAGTATTCCTTGTAGGAAACAAAGGGATGGGCCGAAATAAAGGGATGGGTTTGGCTAGTATCTGCAGCAGGAGTGTGTCCTTAAGGCACAGATCGCTTATGCTATTGTTTGTGGTTTAAGAACGCCTTTAAGCAGTTTTCCATCCTGGGTGGGCCAGGTGTTCCTTGCCCTCATTCCAGTAAACTCACAACCTTCCAGCATGGGCATCATGGCCATCATGAAGATGTCACAGTGTTGCAGAGATTTTGTTTTGGGGCCAGTTCATGGCCAGATTTTGGGGGGCCTGTTCCCAACAGGAAACTGTTACTCTGTTTTTCAAAAAGGATGTTTGGGAGCATAAGGCGGTAGGTAGGAGACAGAGAAAAACAGAGAGGTGTAGGGGTTTCCAAAGTCCTGTCAGTGAAGGGACATAGCTTAGTGCTTACAGGCACAGATTCTAAAACCAAACTGCTGGTTTGAACCAACTCTATCCCTTATTAACTATATGGCAAGCTACTCAACCTCTCTCTGTGCCTCGATAATCTCATCTGCAAAATGGAGATAATAACTCCATAATAACCTGCCATATTAACTATATGGCAAGTTATTCAATCTCTGTCTGTGCCTCAGTATTCTCATCTGCAAAATGTAGATAAAAACAATATTTTCTTAGGATTAAATCAGTTGGTATTTACAAAGTATTATACATATTTGTTAAACGAAAATAAACCTCAGCAAAATTTTTACAGCAAATTATTAGACAGATGGTTTTTGAACACTTGGAGGAGGAATCAGTGGTCATGAGAAGGCAACATGGGATCCTTAACACGCCACATTAAATTAACCTAATTTCATTTTTTAAAAGAGCTAATTAGATGGTGGCTAGGGGGAATGGGATGAACTTAATGAACCTTGACTTCAATGAAGCACTTAATAAAGTGCCTGTGATGTCCCTGTGAACAGACAGCAAATGGTACGTAGATAATTATGTGGCTAGGAAGTTCCACAGGTGATTAAATAACCATACAAGAAATGTTAACCTGGAGGGAAGGTCTAAATGGTATGGAAATGATTCTGTCTTTGGTTCCACCGAGTACGGTATTTCATTGATGACTTAGACAGAAATACAGAAAACACATTTATAAAGCCTGTAGGTTGAAGATAGGTGGCTGGAAAAGGGGCTAGTTTAAATACAGGCTCCTAGATTATTAAGTTGAACATTACACCTAATACAGAGTTTACTCTAAAATAATCCAAAACATATAATGCTCGCCTTGAAGATATGACCTGGAACTTATCAGCATTTTCTCCTTTTAAACTGATCTAATTTCTAGACTGTTCTTCCTCTCCTTGTGTCAAAAGGCATCAATGTGATGACTACCACGTGGTTAGAATAGTGGCCAAGAACACAGAGTGCTTCAGTTGAGTCCCACGTTTTCTACTTATTAGCGATGTCACTGGAGGCAATTTATTTAACAGTTTTGTGACTTGCTTGTCTCATATTTAAAATGAAGATAATGTAACCTACCTACATAAGATTGTTAAAAGATTAAGAGTTTTCATCTTCATGAGATTGGGTCTTAGCTCAACAATGCCTGGATAATGGTAAATATTTAATAAGTTATTAGATAATATTAAGCAGAACAAGTTTTGTACATGGCCTGAGAACCTCTCCATGAGAATTCCATGTATATTTAAAAAGAATTATGATCCTTCTGTCTTCTCTCTTCTCCAAGGTAAACATGCCCAGGATGTCCACACCCTTCTACATCCTGCTCATTATGCTCTTTGGATGCACTCCAGTTTGCCAACGTTCCTTAAATTTGTGTTTGACCAAGGGGGATATTCAAAATATTTAGTAACCAGATTGCACACCAACAAGTAAAGAACTTGTGAGACTCAGCTAGTACTATGGTACTATGATTCCCTTTATCTTTTAATTCTTTACTATCGCTGCTCTGAATTTGTAATCATTTGACACCTCTGGAATTAGTTCAAACATCCCACTTTCTAAATCACCACCTCCTAAGTATATTAATATTTCTTTGCTACAATTATTTAATCTCACCATGACCTTCTAAGCCATTGATCCCATAAACTTCCTAAATCCATCAACCCTTTAAAAAGTGAGAAATTTTGCTTTAAAAGGAAGCAGAGAAATGGGATAATTGCTGACTTACATTAGTTTTAGTTTGTTTTAAATGATAGATAATATTAGAACATGTTTGAAACTGATGAGAATGATAGAGAAGATAGACGATGTAGGAGAAAGGATAACTAAATTAGTGAGAAACTGAAAAGTCCCAAATTGATATCTATAGCTCCAAATCCTCCACTAGCTCAAGAGTTCTATCTCTAGCTAACTAGTGGCAACTCAATCTGGATATATCAGAGCAATGTTTTTAGCATGGCCCAAACAGATATCTCTCTATAAATCTTTTTCTCCCTGTCATATTTTCCATCTCCATAAATGCTTTCTCCAGTGTCTCACATCATAAACCTAAGAGTCATTCTTGATTTGCATACTGAATTCCATATTCAATCCATCAGGAAATCCTCTCCATTCTATCTCCAGATCTGTCTACTTCACTCGCATTCCATTATTGTTATCCTCCTCTAAAGCAACATCATCTATTGTCTAAAACAGTGCAATAGAACTTTCTGCAATGATGGAGCTTTCTATATCTTTGCTGTCCAATATGGTAGTCACTCGCTACATGTAGCTACTGAGCACTTGAAATGTTGGTATTGTCACATTTTACTTCATTTTAACTAATTTACATTTAAATAGCAACATGGATTGGACAGTGCAGGTGTAGACAAGAGCCTCATAACTATAGACACAATTCACTTTGTCACTCCAGATCAGCCTTCAAATTACTCCCCTGTCAAAACTTATGATGACCTCCTATTGAACTGGAATAAAATCCAAAGTCACTATCATAGCCTGAGCTGCACAATTGGAGAAAGCCTCTCTGCTCCACCACCCCACTTCATTCTAGTCTGTCCTTGCTCAATCTCTCTCTAGTCACTCTGACCTCTGACAGTTCCCTAAGTTACCAAGCTCTTCCCTCATTCAGGGCCATTTTTTCCACTTTTTCTTTTAAAAATCAAATATTTTCTGTCAAGCAGTGCTTTAGACATTGAGGATACAGCAAGAACAAAAGAGACAAAGTTCTGTTGCCAGGAAATTTTAATTCTGGTAGAAGAGACAAATTATAAATGAATGAAAGATAATACTCCATCAGGCCATGATCAATCCCTAGAAGAAAAGGTTAAGGAAGGCTATTTAGATTGTATGATAGAGGAGGTCTCAGGTAAGGTAGCATTTGAATGATTGAGGACGTGAAACTTGAGACAGAATGTGCTTGGTTAGAGGCCTCTTCCTCCATGTGAGGACCCAGTGAGAATGGGCTGTGCCTAAGAACCAGAAAGTGAGCCCTTAGCAGGCACCAAATCTGCTGGCACCTGGATCCTGGACTTCTCAGCCTCCATACTGTGAGAAATAAATATTTGTTGTTTGGAAACCACTCAGTCTATGGTATTTGTTATAGCAGCTTGAATGGGGTGATAGCCTAGCTAACGGGGAAGCCAGGAGAGTAGCAACAGGGGTCTATATTCATTAGGTCCAAAATCTTTACAGAAATTGCATGGTTCATTGAAGTAAAATTGTGCGAGCTCACAAATAAATGCAAATCCCTTCACTGTTATATAGAATTACACAGGCTCATTACAGAAATTCAGGTTGTCTCATTTGTAATCATTTGACACCTCTGAAATTTTGATTAATCTGAGCTTTTAAAGAGGAATGATGTTACCAGTTTGGAGAATATTAAAGAGTGAGAAAGAGAAAAGCAGTCCCTGACATACAGAGAACCTGGTCTGATGCTCGCAGCTGGACCATGTTATTTTCCTGTTGGACATACACTGTCTCACAGGACATCAACAGCAGACAGGGCGGTGCTAGTCTATGATAAGGTAAGACAAAAAACGGCTGTGTGCAACCACCAAAATACCACTCTCCTCCCTCTCTTGGCTAAAATGAGGAACTGCTACTGCTTTACCAGTTACAGTTTTATCCTTACTCTAGCCAGGCCTCCTTTTGACTGAGATAGCCATCGTAAAATTGCTCTACTTCCTGACAGAAACCAATTCAGAACAAAGTCCATTTCCTTAGACCCTCTCCAAAATTACCCAAAGCTCTACCTCTATTATAGGTTTTTCTAACACCTTCTTACTGAGATACCCCATGGTTTTCCATGGTGTGTATACTCCCTCTCTGCAATGAGTGCAAAATGCAATTTGTTCAACTACAGGTACATTTCTAGGGTCTTTGGTGAAAGGGTATTGACAGGAATTAGGGTTGAAGAGTATGGTGCTATGGAGACCCATGGTTCATCTTAAGGAAAACCAATAGCTTGAACTTATAAATCTTCCCCTCCTCCATACCCCAATTGCTTTATAATCTAATAAGAGCCATACTTACTGATAGGAAAGTTAGGCAACTTTGGAACTTCAAAGCAAAATTCTGAACTTAATGGTGTTATAAATCTGGAACTATCATAGGAGGGGTCAAGGTCCCTGGAAAAAGAAAGCATCAAAATCCTCCTCTTGACCTGTGCAATAAATGGATTTTAATGGTGTCCTAAGTGGCAGAACTAAGAGGAAACTAGAGAAGTTGATGCAATACTCAATTACAAAATGTTTCAAAAAGTTTCCCTCTATGAGTCAGTCTCATGATGGAATACTGCCAAATGCTCAAGCATGACAGACACTATGTGACCAATACATTTCTAAAGATTATTCAAGCTTGGTAAGTGAGTGTAGCTCACTGGTAGACAGGTGCCTCTCATGTACAAGGCCCTGAGTTTGACTCCCAGCACCTCCAACCATTAATTTCTTAGTCCTCAGCACCACTCATCGGTAAAGATTATTCTGGCTAATGGAACTTTTCTCCACTTTAATTTATCTGAGGTCTAAAAAGGGCCATCTATATTATGAGTATAAAACCTGATACTGGTAACACTGAGTAAATACATTTTCAAAAAAGTTACCATCTAAAAATGCCATTTAGGAAATAAAATCCTTTAAAACATATGGCATCTGGACAAAACCAAGAGTGCCAACTAATGGTTAAATGAGATAGGAATTTTTGTACTAAAAAGTCAAGACAAGCCAGGATTGGGAAGGAATAAAGATCCAGTGAGTGTGATCTCATACTCATCCAACTGTGCTCAATAATGCTATAGGATTCTAATGAAGGATCTGATGAGAAATCACTGACAACAAATGCTATTGTTCCCAAGGCCAATGTAGGTCATGTTTTACATGTATATTCATTATATAAATACTTGGTGCCAGTTAGTGTAGGCCATTTAAGAAAGATAAATTTACAAAGTAGAATTGATTGCTGATATGGTCTATCATAAATATTATATAATCCCAATCACAGTTCAAAGATTCTTCTGTTATAAAGTCTTTAATCATGGCCTTCATTTTATTTACTGTTGTGGAATAAAAAGTCCAAGTGTAATTCAGCATGTTGAGTTAACTGTTAGGATAATCAAGAGATGTGATCTCAACAGAAGTCACTGGAATCAAATCCAATACTGGACATCCTTGAGACAAAGAGAAAAAATATACAATAATCAAAAAGAGAAGTTACTTGAATCTAATTGGAATGTCTACAAGTAGGTCATTAAAACCTAAACTGTAGCATACTTTATTAATTCCTATCATTGCTTCTTGGTATCCACAGATCCTTACTTATGTTTAAATGACTTCTGTTTGGAAAAACGGACCCCCACTTCAAAAGCAAACAGCCTGAATTATTTGACCTTAAATCACAAACTGTAAATCCATTAAGTCACACCACGTCTACATTTCAATTTATTTTTGTCACTCCTATTTCATACATGATCTTATTTAGGTTTCACAATCATAAGATACAGGTATTATTATCTTCAGTCTAGAGGTGTGTGAATTGACACTTGATATTCAAGAGATGTGACCTAAGATCTTTAGGACTTCTCTAAATTTGCAAATGCCATAGTAATATTTCACTTCCCCCATAACTGCATAAAACATAACTTCAATATCATTTATGAAATAGCATTAGCACTATTTTTGTGCTGGTTGGCCCCCTGCCAGGAGGTGGCATTTTCCAGAGAGCACCAGCTGTGGTCGAATGGGGAGGAACAGGTGATAGGCGGGCCCCTAGAACTCCCAAGAGTATATGCCCTCTGCAGTGACCAAGGTGGGTAGGGAAGGACCATTAGGTGGGGGCAGGGCTAAGTGTGTCTGAGCTCAGACTCTCCTTGGCCAGGTCTTGCTACAGCTGCTGTGGGAGATTGGGGTGAGGTTCCCAGGTCAATGGAGTTACATTCCTAGGAGGATTATGACTGTCTCTGCTGTGTCATGCAGGTTTTCAGGGAAACTGGGGGAGAGCTGACAGTCACAGACCTCACCCAGCTCCACACAATCCAAAGGGCTTGTCTCACTTCCACCATGCCCTCTCCAAAAGCACTGAGTCTGTTTCCAGGCAGTGGGTGAGCAGAGCTGGAGAATTTGTCCCAGGCTACCCACCTCCCAGCTGCGAAATCAAGTATGGCTTTCCTTCTATTCCTGCCTGTGGAGTCTGCACACCAGATTAACACCCTCCCTTGAGTTCTGGCCAGGAGGCTTCTTGATCAGTTCAAATTGTTACAAAGTTCAGTTGGAGAGTTCCTTCTCCATGTGGCCTTTTCCCAGTACCTCTAGCTGCCCTCCCAGAGTACCCCTGTGAGTCCAGGCAGAAACGGTTTGCTAAGGCACCAAGCAATCTCCCAAGGCTATGATTGTATTTAATTTTTCCTCTCATGGAATATAGAATAAGAACATTCAGGGTCAATACACCCAATTAAACTTTTATAACATATTTCTTTATTCTGATTATAAAAGCAATGCATATATGCTCATTATAGAAAGTTTCAAAAATAGAGTCCAAAGGAGGAGATAAAAAGTTGTGTTGGGTATGGTGGTTCACGCCTGTAATTCCAGCACTTTGGGAGTCCATGGCAGGAAGATTGCTTGAGCCCAGGAGGTTGAGACCAACCTGGGTAACAGCAAGACCTCGTCTCTACCAAAAAAAACAAAAGTGCTAGCCAGGTATGGTGGTGTGTACTTGTGATCCCAGCTACTTGGGAGGCTGAGGTGGGAGGTTCACTTGAGCCTGGGAGGTTGAAGCTGCGGTGAACCATGATCACACCACTGCACTGCAGCCTGAACAGAGCAAGACCCTGTCTCAAAAAAAAAATCCTCCTATAGTCCCTCCTTTAAGCAACCAATATTCATGTTTTAATGTAAATCTTGCAAAGTCTTTCTATGCTGTATATGTTTAAAAAATTGTATTCCATTTTATACCATTACAACATTTTCCCCCTATTTAATTTATTGTGACCATTTTTCCATGCTACTAACTACCTCATATAAATTATAATGGCTCTATATTTCTTATTCACATAGACATATCATAATTTCTCATAGCGTGTTTTATCTGCAATCTTAAGAACACAAAATGAGTCAGATCTTGAATAAACCTCACACATGGGGTATATAAATCTATTATAATTCTTCTGTCACGAAAAACATGTCTACATTAAAGGTTTTCTATGTTTATCTGAAAAACAGAATGAATATATGTAATAAGAGTCTCTTACCTGAGTTAACCCCTACTCATACATTAGCTCTCAGGCAGGAGGATTCGCCTAAGCAAAATAGACACGTTTGTTAACCCATTCATCAGCTAAGGAGCTACCTCCTTATTTTCCACTCCTACTCTGCCTTAGCTGAAATGTCATTACCTTTATTCAAATAAACAATTCTTGAGTACTATTTACCACGCATAGTTATAGGTTTCAGGGATATAGCAGAGGGCATGCTTGCTGAGGAACAGCAGCAAGGTTGGCATGGCTGGGTATGAAGTGAGCACTGGGAAAAGTAGCAGGGGAAGACATCAAAGGGATAGTCAAGAGCCAGATCCTATAGCATCTTGTAGGCACTATAAGGACTTTTACTATGAATGAGTTAGGAAAACATTGGATTATAAACATGATCTCAATTACTCATTTTAAAATGATCACTTTGGCTATTACACATAAAACTGGCTAAAGGAAGGCTGTACCAAAATATTATGGTGGAATTGTTCAGAAGTAGTAGCATTCTAGCTCTATTTTACTGAAAGACCTACTGATGAGCTATACTTGATGTGGAATGTGAGAAATCAAGGTGGACCAAGTTTAATGGCCTGAGTAATTAATTAGCAAAATGGAGTTGCTATCTACTAAGGTGGGAAAGATTGGTGGAGGAAGAGCTTGGAGGCAGGGGTAGGAAATCAAGGGTTCAATTTTGGTCATGTTAAGTTTGAGATTCTTATTAGATAGCCAAGTGGAAGGGGAGACACTTGGATATACAGTGCTAGTGTTCAATAAAGAAGCTGGGACTGGATATATAAATTTGGAAGTTATCACTGTATAGATGGTATTTAAAGCTAGAGAATGGGTGAGATCACTAAGGAAGGAGTATAGGTAAAGAAAGGAAGAGAGTCAAAGACTGGGTCCTGGGATACCTCAACTGACAGTGATAGAGAAAATGAGGAAAAACCAGCCAAGACTCTGAAGGAGACCAGTGAGCTCTCCTTTTTTGGAGACCAAAACAAGTGAGATTTGAGGAGGGAGAGCTCGTCTGTGTCATGACTGAGAAGGGACTACCAAATCTGGACTTGTGGAAGTCATTGATAGCTTCAGCAAGAACAGTGTCCATGAAATGGTAGGAAAAAAATAAAGCCATATGAGGATAAATTCAAGAAAAACGAGAGGGCAAAAGGGGAGACAGTGAGTATAAATAACTTCCATGGAGTCTTGCTAAAAAAAAGAGAAATCCAAGTTTTCCTTGATTCCCTTCCCTGTCCTCCATCGAAGTAAACAAGCTTCCTCTGTTATATATTTTTGTTGCACACTGTATTTTTTTCTTTATAACTGATATGGTTTTGCTGTGTCCACACCCAAATCTCACCTTGAATTGTAGCTTCCATAATCCTCATGTGTCTGGGGAGGGACCCGGTAGGAGGTAATTGAATCATGGGGGTGGGCTTTTCCCATGTTGTTCTCGTGATTATGAATAAGTCTCACAAGATCTGATGGTTTTATAAAAGGCAGTTCCCCAGCACACGCTCTCTTGCCTGCTGCCACATAAGACGTGCCTTTACTCCTCTTTCACCTTCCGCCATGATTATGAGGCCTCTCAAGCTGTGTGGAACTGTGAGTCCATTAACCCTCTTTTTCTTTATAAATTACCCAGTCTCAGGTATTTCTTCATAGCAGTATGAAAATGGACTAATACAGTAACTTAATATACTATATATTTTTATATGATTATTGACGATCTCCATTACTAGACTGTAAGTGCTACTATGGCAGGGACTGTCTTGTTCATTGCTCAATCTTCATTTCTTTGAATAGTGCCTGGCATATTCCTACAACAATTTGTTGGTGGTCTGAATAATTCTCGGTTTAAATGTGAGATTTTTTTCTATTTTATGTTAGTCCCTTATGATATACTTACATAACTTAAATTTGATGCAAATTTCTTCTGTTTTCTTTTTCCAACACTTCTTACATTATCATACTAAAATTAAGTAAAATGTTTTTAATGGAAATGCCTCCCAAACTGTATTTCAATTAACATGTCCAAAAAAAAAAGAAACAAAAGGTAAAATGGGCAGTAAAGCAAAGCCTGCTGGCTGATTAAAAAAAAATGAGTGTGAATGGATTAATCTTAAGTACTGAGGGAATTCTAATAAATATTCAGAATTAAATATAATGGCAAATGTTTCTCTATGATATCCGATTTCTATAATTTGCAATAGTTACCCGTTTTCATAATGCTATTAGTGCCTTTGCTCAAACCACAGGATGACGGACAAAGCGTATCTTTCAAAAATCTGGTTACAACTAACACATATGAACTAATCAAACAAGTAAAGAAAAAAAGGACAAATTATTCTTGATATTAGTACATTCAGGAAGTGAATTCCAAAAGAGAAAAGCTACTTGAAACTTCTTTGCTAGGGATAAAAATTTCTGACTGTATTGTCGCAATATTCCAAGTATCCAGAAAAATAAAGAGTATGCTTAGGTGTTAAAAAAAATCTGCTCAATCTTGTACTTCATACAGGTTTAGCATGAGGCCTCCACAGATTACAGAAGTCAGAATTTTAAATATTATATTTTTGTCCTTTCCTAAAGCTGACAAATGAAACAAAGAATTACAATCTATTAATTTACTTATTCGATAACAAAATTTTCCCAATAAAGCACAATAAATTGAACAAAAACATACATATGGAACAAAAGAAGCACAAGAAATTGAACAAAAACAACAAATAGGGAAAAAATGGACTTACCAGAAATACAAAAAGAGTCTCTCAGAGAAAACTCTTCATGGCCAAAATGACATTATATGTGAAAATCGTAAGAGATTTTCATAAAAGTGAATCTCTTTCACATAATTTACCTTGTCCCCAACAACAAAAAAAAACCTTACTATTCATCAAGACAAAGATTATTGAGCAAAGTAAAAAATTCTTATGTTTGAAATTATAAATTTCTGCTATATCAATATAAAAATGGGAAAAATAACTGAATAAAAGCCAATTAGAATAGAGAGCTGGATGTTCCCTATTCCTGAGTCTAAGCAGTTTTAAGACAGTAGTTCTAAATCAACTAGGACATAATGCCCAGTTCTTATGATGTCGGAATAACTTAGGTACATCTTTTAAAAACTATATGTTGTAAGAAAAGGTGACATGGTCTAAGACTGGGTCCTCAGGGAACTAAAAAGTTATTGCTGTCACCAAACTGAAATATAATATTTTTAGCAAGTATATTTGAGCTTTAGCTACATATAACCTTCATTTATCCACAGTGGCCAAATTTATAACAGGCAAGTTGCAGTAATTGCCACACAAGTCAAACCCATTAGTTGGTCAAAATGAAACATTTTAGACAGTATTTCTTAGAACAGCCAGACCCGTGGCGTGAGCCTGTAGTCCCAGCTACTGGGGAGGCTGAGGAACAGGATTGCTTGAGCCCAGGAGTTCAAGGCTGAATACACTACGATCATATCTATGAATAGTCACTGCACTTGAGCCTAGACAACATAGCGAGAACCTGTCTCTTAAAAACCACTTTTTTTTTGAGACGGAGTCTCGCTCTGTCGTCCAGGCTGGAGTGCAGTGGCGCGATCTCGGCTCACCACAAGCTCCTCCTTCTGGGTTCACGCCATTCTCCTGCCTCAGCCTCCCGAGCAGCTGGGACTACAGGCGCCCGCCTAATTTTTTGTATTTTTAGTAGAGACAGGGTTTCACTGTGTTAGCCAGGATGGTCTTGATCTCCTGACCCCGTGATCCGCCCACCTCGGCCTCCCAAAGTGCTGGGATTACAGGCATGAGCTACCGCACCCGGAGGCCCCGTGACTTAAAAAGGGTATTGGTAATAGCAGTTTCCTTCAACCTCCCACTACCCTAAGATTTCTAAAGCACCCCTCAGAAGATGATGTAATCTCATCTGGTTCCCTTTCTTGTGAGGCAGGCTGCTAAATGGTTTGAATACTGTCATGAAGCTCCCTGTAACTGCTCCACTATGAATCCATTTCAGCTTGTAGAACAAGACATATTTTTCCTCCTTCTTTTCCCTATTTATAGCCTTAAAATTAGAAATGTTTATTTATTCACTGGGAAAAATTTAGAGAATTTCAAAAAAAATTACTCATAATCTTATAAAGATGTCCAATTAAACATATTGATCTTTTTAGACCTGTATTTCATTTACTTTTTAAACAAATTTGAATTATATAGTTCATCCTGATTTTCTCACTCAATATGACAGGTGTTTTATTTTAAAAATTATGTGACAATATTTTATTTAATGGCTGCATAAATTTATAATTTATATTATATTTTTGTTAATTATTTAGACTAAGATTTAGACTATTTTCCATTTTGGCCACTATAAAAATGCTGAATGAATCTAGTGTGTTAACATCTCTGCACATACATAAAGCTTATTTTAATAATATAAGTATAGCTAAAAGTTGAGACACCCAGTACTTTATGAACTTAGTTTTGAAAAATATTTCTCTAGAAAACATACTCCAAGTTATACCTCAGTGAGATGAAAATACATGTTATATAACATTTGACAAGTATAATCATTCTTCAAAATTGTTGTCAATTTAGCAGTTAAATTTTCTCATTTGTTTTAAAAAGGCCAAATATTATATTTTTTATGTATTTGTCTATAAATTTCTCACTCAGCTCATTTTGTGTCCAGAATTTATTCCTTCTAGTGGGTTCTTGGTCTTGCTGACTTCAAGAATGAAGCCGCAGACATTTGCGGCGAGTGTTACAGCTCTTAAAGATGGCGTGTCTAGAGTTTGTTCCTTCAGATGTGTCCAGAGTTTCTTCCTTCCGGTGGGTTCATGGTCTTGCTGACTTCAGGAGTGAAGCCGCAGACCTTCACAGTTGAGTGTTACAGCTCTTAAAAGTGGCGCATCCAGAGTTGTTTGTTCCTCCGGGTGGGTTTGTGGTCTCACTGACTTCAGGAGTGAAGCTGCAGACCCTCGTGGTGAGTGTTACAGCTCATAGAGGTAGTGCGGACCCAAAGAGTGAGCAGCAGCAAGATTTATTGTGAAGAGCGAAAGAACAAAGCTTCCACAGCATGGAAAGGGACCCAAGCGGGTTGCTGCTGCTGGCCCCGGTGGCCAGCTTTTATTCCCTTATCTGGCCCCGCCCACATCCTGCTGATTGGTCCATTTTACAGAGTGCTGACTGGTCCGTTTTTACAGAGTGCTGATTGGTGCATTTACAAACCTTTAGCTCGATACAGAGCGCTGATTGGTGCATTTTTACAGAGTGCTCATTGGTGCGTTTACAAACCTTTAGCTAGACACAGTGTGCTGATTGGTGCATTTACAAACCTTTAGCTAGACACAGAACGCCAACTGGTGTGTTTAGAATCCTTTAGCTAGACAGAAAAGTTCTCCAAGTCCCCACCCAATCCAGAAGCCCAGCTGGCTTCACCTCTTAATTTGTCATTTTTAAAAGTAGGGTATGTCATGGACAACAGTGATTCTGAATTGTAATATGGAATTGGTTAGACCCTTATTTATTGTACTTAATAATTTTTTCATATTATGAATCCCCTAATTCTAAAGAAAATCCCTCAGTGTTTTATACTCGAGTTAACTAGAGGTAGATCAAGATGGTCATAGTCATGGGTGAATTATCATAAGGGTGATAATTTGCTTCAAAACTATCTCTAAGTTTAACTGATCATACACAATATGTTCTGAAACAAACATTCTAGTAAATGTAGTTTGCTGTAACACTCATAGTTTTCAAGGTTTCAAATCAAGGATCCTAAGAACTAGTATGCTTTCCATGATTACAGGAAAACTCTGCCCTCTTTAGTAAAGAGATGGCCAGAGGATCAATTTCATTGTGACAAGAAACAAGAGATTTAATTTAGATTGTGTAGTAACTGGTATGTAAATATTCAGTAACCTTTCTTATCTATCAAAAGAGGCTAATGGTTAATCCTGTGTTTTGTGTTCTCAAAAGCACTTGGGTCAACAGTGTGTCATTCTTTTGAAAAATAAGTGGAAAACAGAAGGCACAGGACCTCTGGTTTAACTTTAATCAAGACTAAGTCAAAGGTATCTAGGTTCTATAAATTTATTTTACAGATTTTAGCTTTTCTATTATTGATCTGTAAACACTTCTTATATTAATTACTTCAGACTTTTCTCAGCATAGTTGAAAATCCCATGTATTTGCTTTTTAGTTTTGTTTCTGTGGATGCAGAAGAGTTTTTAATTACACAGGAACTTATTAATTTGTTTTCTTCTACTACTTTTATATGAGAAAGTCCTTCTCCATATGGTTAACTACCAATATTTTCCACTTTTAATGCCTTAGGTAAACTAACTCCTTTATCAGCTACTGTATGATGTGAAGAATAATTTTATACATTTTCTGAGTGGTAATGCCAAATTAACCACATAAAATGGTCTTAAATTTTCTAGGGCCCCTTCTAATCTATTTTCAATCACATGTTTCTTCTGATAGTTTTAATTACCATGGTTTTAGAGTATACTTTAATATCTGATAGAGCAATTCTACCTTAACCATTTGGCCATTCTTTCCCCAAGAGATTTTCAACTAGTGCTATTTACTTTACAAGATAAACTTCGGAGTTAATTTCCTCTTCATCCCTCCAGAAAAAAAAAAATTCCATTGGGATTTAGTTGGAAAATATATTTTTAAATTAATTTGTGTTGAATTAATATGAGTTATATCTTTCAGTTTTGGAACATGGTACTTTTATCTATGCAAATCTTTGTGTGTTTGTATGTATTTGTGTGCCACACAGGCACCTTAATAAAGTTTCATAGTTTGAATAATAAATCTCAAATTTTAGGGTTATTCCTAGTTATTGTATGGCTTTTATTACTAAATGTAATTGAAGTAATTTTTCCATTATATCTTCTACATTTTACTGCTATGGTTTTAAGATTACAATTGCTATATAATTTGTATCTATTTTTTCTCATTTACAGTAGAAAATCTTAATATATAATACATTTTAATATTCAATTTTCCTTGTGTTCTTGGGATAAATCCTATTTGGTTCTGTCAAATGTTCATCAAATAATCTGCTGAGGTCAAGCATTGACTTAACCCTGAGGTGGTTGAGAGTATACCATCCTGGTACAAGGGTTATTTTCAGCAGAAAGCAATTGAAAATAAAATGTAGACAGAAGAAAAACTCTCTGCCCTCCCACTATCTCCACTAGGAGGGCAGAACAATTCTTAATTAGAGACAAATCTCGACTCTTATCAGCCCAGAGATGGCACCAGAAGAATCTACATAACAAATCTTTCTAAAGTAACTTTTATTTTCTACAACTGTCCCCAATATATTCACCTTCCTACAATATGCCACCCCTAGAAGCTCAAAGTCCTTTGCCTTTAGAAGCTCAAAGTCCTTTTCCTTTATTTTGTCACTTCTCTTATTTATTGTTCTTTTTGTTAAGATGTTATATAAGCCCAAGTTCTAATCACCTCTTTGAGTTACTCACCACTGAATTTTCCCATATATGCATGATATATGTGTTAATAAAATTCAGTTTTTCTCTTTTTAATATGTCTTTTGTCAGTATCATTGCCAGAGTTCCAGCGAATGAAGCTAAGATGGTCTGAGAAAAACAAACAAACAAACAAACAAAAAACAAAAAGCAAAAAACAAAAAACAAACTTCTCTACACCAACTAAAGGAAAAATCTCTATCTCTACTACAACTACTGCTACTCTCGGTACTTTACCTCTCACACCAGATGTATGGGATTTTTTCCCTCCACAACAATTGGGTATCTTACAATTCAATTCCATTCTGACATTATCTACCTTGGGTTAGCACGGACTGCACAGGTTAAGAGCTCGGTTTCACAAGACTGCTCTCACTCCCCACTTCAGATGCCAATTGCAAGTCCAGGTTGTCACATGTGCTACTGACTGCCCAGCAATAAATCAGAGGTTCCCACGATCCCCTCCTCAGGTTTGATAATTTACTAAAACAACTCACAAAATTCAGGGAAACACTTTACTTGTGTTTACCTATTTATTACAAAGGATATAATTCAGGAACAGTCCAATGAAAGATGTATAGGGCAAGATATGGAGACTGGGCACAGAGCTTCAATGTTCTTTCTGGGTACACCATCCTCCCAGCACCCTCCGTGTGTTCACCAACCCAACTTTATGAACTCTCCTTTTGGGGTTTTATGAGGGCTTCATTACATAGACATGATCAATCACATCATTGGCAATTGCTGATTAAGTCAATTTCCAGTCCCTCTCCCCTACCCAGAGGTTGGGCTATAAGTTCTAAACTTCTGATCACAGGATTTGTTCCTCTGGATAGATGGGTAGAAGAGAAATATTTTTTTACCTTTCCTATACCCCAGAGCTTGTAAACCTTATTTAGAGAAATTGAAATAGAGTCATAAAACTTTTGGGGAGAAGGAAATAGAAAACAGTAGGTTTTATGAATTAATTCTAAGTAAAGAACAGATATACAGTTGATTAACATTATAAGTAATAATTGATATTGCTAATGTACTCTTCCTTCTCTGTCCCCTTCTTTATTTCTTTGTTTTTCCAATCTTTGTGTGCCCTTTCACCCATAGAAGAGGCAATAGGGTGACAGTCTAAACTCCTCCAAGCAGCACAATTTTAAGAATAGGAATCATAATAGATATTTCTAATCCAAATAAAATGCAAGCTTGGTTTCTTAGTATTGATTAACATGCCTTCTCTTATTTAATTCTCAAAACAACCTCATGAGGCAGTGCATGGTAACAGGTGTTCTGTAGGGCAAGAAAGATAGAAGTATACATCATTTTCATAGATACTGCAGTCTCCCCACAAGAAGCTGTGGTCTTCTTGGTGCTGAATTGGCTTAGGAACCAAGAAAGCTCAGTGCTCATCAACATTCTCCTAAATAGAAACACAAATATTCTTAATGCACTTACTTCTAGGATGGTATTGTAAATCTGAAGAATAAAAAAGACAGCAGTTTAGCAATTGGATTTTTTACCCACTCTGAGAGGACCCTACCTGCATGGAGAGTGACACTTGTATCTGGGCCCTTCTTAGGAAGGCAAAGGCCAGCAAAAAGCCATACATCCTCTTTCTCTGGGCTTTTACTTCATTACGCATTGGTATCCTTGATTAAGTAAACTGGGAATTCATAGACCATAGTGTGCATGGTGGTGGGGTGTTTCCTCTCACAAATGAGGAAACTGAGTCTTAGAAAGATTTGAGATAATTCCCAAAGTCCCATATATCCCATGGTGTCCAGAAATGTTGGTTGACCACCCAAAATCCTTGTGGGTTGACAACCCGCATTGCCAAGTCAATCCTAAGCCAAAAGAACAAAGCTGGAGGCATCACACTACCTGACTTCAAACTATACTACAAGGCTACAGTAACCAAAACAGCATGGCACTGGTACCAAAACAGAGATATAGATCAATGGAACAGAACAGAGCCCTCAGAAATAACGCCACATATCTACAACTATCTGATCTTTGACAAACCTGACAAAAACAAGCAATGGGGAAAGGATTCCCTATTTAATAAATGGTGCTGGGAAAACTGGCTAGCCATATGGAGAAAGCTGAAACTGGATCCCTTCCTTACACCTTATACAAAAAATAATTCAAGATGGATTAAAGACTTACATGTTAGACCTAAAACCATAAAAAACCCTAGAACAAAACCTAGGCATTACCATTCAGGACATAGACATGGGCAAGGACTTCATGTCTAAAACACCAAAAGCAATGGCAACAAAAGCCAAAATTGACAAATGGGATCTAATTAAACTAAAGAGCTTCTGCACAGCAAAAGAAACTAACATCAGATTGAACAGGCAACCTACAAAATGGGAGAAAATTTTCGCAACCTACTCATCTGACAAAGGGCTAATATCCAGAATATACAATGAACTCAAACAAATTTACAAGAAAAAAACAAAGAACCCCATCAAAAAATGGGCAAAGGACATGAACAGACACTTCTCAAAAGAAGACATTTATGCAGCCAAAAAACACATGAAAAAATGCTCACCGTCACTGGCCATCAGAGAAATGCAAATCAAAACCACAATGAGATACCATCTCACACCAGTCAGAATGGCGATCATTAAAAAGTCAGGAAACAACAGGTGCTGGAGAGGATGTGGAGAAATAGGAACACTTTTACACTGTTGGTGGGACTGTAAACTAGTTCAACCATTGTGGAAGTCAGTGTGGCGATTCCTCAGGGATCTAGAACTAGAAATACCATTTGACCCAGCCATCCCATTACTGGGTATATACCCAAAGGACTATAAATCATGCTGCTACAAAGACACATGCACACGTATGTTTATTGCGGCACTATTCACAATAGCAAAGACTTGGAACCAAGCCAAATGTCCAACAATGATAGACCGGATCAAGAAAATGTGGCACATATACACCATGGAATATTATGCAGCCATAAAAAATGATGAGTTCATGTCCTTTGTAGGGACATGGATGAAATTGGAAATCATCATTCTCAGTAAACTATCTCAAGAACAAAAAACCAAACACCGCATATTCTCACTCTTAGGTGGGAACTGAACAATGAGAACACATGGACACAGGAAGGGGAACATCACACTCTGTGGACTGTTGTGGGGTGGGGGGAGGGGGGAGGGATAGCTTTAGGAGATATACCTAATGCTAAATGACGAGTTAATGGGTGCAGCACACCAGCATGGCACATGTATACATATGTAACTAACTGCACATTGTGCACTTGTACCCTAAAACTTGAAGTATAATAATAATAAAATAAAAAAAAATAAAAAAAAGAAATTTTATGATGGGGAAACTTCTACACAATTGTAATACCAAATTTAATAATCCTTTTCCTCTCTTTATGTTTTTCTCTTTATTTTATTAAGAATAGATCCATATACAACTAAGTAATGTCAGCTAAAGTATGAGATAAAATATGTTAAAATGCAAATATTTAGGAAATTCTGCCATCAAAGAGAAAAATAGGTATTTCAGTAGCATTTTTCTCATTGACAATTCTAGTATTTATCAACTTGTAAAGATGTTTTTCCCAAATTAAATAAAAACAACGATTTGTGCCAAAAAAAAAGAAAATAATGAGTTTAAATTAAAGTAACCAGGCTTCTAACTCCTACCAATTGATAAACTCATGTAATGCCTTTTGCTGTGATTATTTTGCCTTATTAATTTTATAGTCTTAATTTTCTTGTGTTTTTGTCTAAAACTGCTTCATTCATTCTTTATTTTTAGTATTTCTGAGCAATTTTAATCTAGGTATGATCCATGTAAGAAACGTTGTTGGACTTTGTTTTTAACTAAACCTGAGGAGATTTTATATCTTAATTTTAAATCTGACACAAGTTTAACAGTAAGTCTATTTCAACATCCTATAAGAAGAGACTAGTGTATGTCACATGTAAGCCACATACTGAATATGAAACAATCTAAACATGTTTCATCAGAGAAAAATCAGTAGCATAGAGATTCATGGGAAATCAGTTACCTATTAATTTTTTTCCTGGTCCAAATCCTTCGTAAACACGCAGATGACCATGACAGACAAAAGTTGTTGGCTTCATCGGGAAGTTAATAATATTAAGCTGAATGATGTGATTTAAAGGGGCTACTAATCTCCATTGGCAACTATGGCATAGATGAAACAAAGTCAGAAATTATTTCTAAACAGAATATATTGTTAGTTATTTTGCTCAGAAATTAATGCATCAATGTTATTGACCCCCAGTGAGCCTTATTTTTTGTGTCTGTTTCCTTATGGTTGTGAGAGAGAAAGATTTGTACTTTAAATTATATCAACTTTATTATCTAATACGTAATTTGCCAAAATTTATAAAGTTCATACATTATGAATGGCTGACCAATTGTGTGTATTGTTTTAAATTCTGATTGAAAATTTATAAGATCTGAAGGACCTATATGTGCCAGAATTTGCCCCAAACTCCCACACATCATTTATTAAGTATCTACTATGTACCCAAATATTTTACATACATTATATCAGCCTCCAACATTCTTTGTAAAGATTTGACTTTTCACTTTGCTAATACATGGTCTATTTTGTTGAGAAAGTACAATTGATAAACAAGGACATTCTTATATTGTTTTGTTTTGTTTCCATATTAAAAGCCATAGATTAGGGGTTACCTAAGAGTCTATTCTTTTTGGAAAAAAGGTGAAGAATAATGTTTTAAGCAAGTACCAAGTGTTGATGTCAGTCAAGCAATTTTTTCCACACACTTCTTCCATTATAATAATCATGACTTCCTTACCCCATAGTAGTTCTGTGAGAATTTCTTGGGATCTGCATGATCCCTTCTGGCTTGGTCAGAAGAACATCCTCACAAGGGACCAAGTGCTCTCTGTTTGAACTTTGGGAAAGTCTGGTTATTTTACTGTCCTTTGGACCTAAAAGAACAGGAAGCAGAGAAAATGAGAATAAAACCAATTTTTAACAGGCTTCCTATATGCCTTTTCAGATCAAGGTAAACAGCTCTCTTCCCTAATTGTCCTGGGAAAACAAGTAATTATTAGGAGGTGGTTGGTTTCACTGAAAATTTTCTCCGTCTTAAATATTCAAAAGGTATAGGAAACAAACACATCTCTCAGATGATCTCTGACATAGCCTAGGGTCTATGGAAGATTATAGGACACAGCTATAGATAATACCTGTTAACTGCCTAATTCCATCTGAAAGCAGTATTCTTAATATATTCTTCCAAGAGAAAACTTTCATATGATATAAATGCTTTATTACTTAATTAACTTTTTCCAAATATACAGTATACACAGGTCTAGAATAACATATTCTCAGCAATGCTTTTAGGTGCCAAGGGGGGAAACTAGCTTTCAGTTGTCTACATCAAGAATAAAAAAAAATCTCACTAATTACATATTCTAAAGTTCAATCTGACAACTCTGAATTACATTGTTTACATTTATAATACTAGAATCTAATATTTGTGTAGTTTGTTTTCAAAACTTACTCTAATCTTTTATTACATCACTAAAAGAAAATTCTAATCAGAGATAATAAATTGTCCAGAGCTAATCAGCCAGCTAAGATTTAGAACCCAAATCTTCTGAGCCACAAGAATTTACAGCTACAGAAAACATTCTTTGTGGTATAAAATTGCAACCACAGAAAAAAGTTATCTTGCAATGAACATATCTTAGCCATTTTCAGAAATCATATACAATTCAATCAAGTTATCCATTGAGCAGTTTCCCTTTTGGACCTGATCAAATCTTAGGTGACTTAAGTAGATTTTCCTTTCAAACATATACTCATTTCCCCACAGAAACATAATTTCTTTCAAAATGTTGTATATGTTTGGAAATATTCCTAAATAGAGTAATATTGATTTCTTTAGCCTTTACAAGTTTATAAAATAACCAAACATACCTAGGACTTTCAAGACAATATAGCTTATACCAAATGCACCTCGTACAAGGGCATGGAATGTCACCCTCACCAGCGGTCCAGGACTCATGAAAGTCATTGAGTAAAGTCTTCTTCCATGTAATCCACCTAGGTTAAAAAGTGAACTCTAGTAAAAAATAAGAATGAAAATTTGACAGCAGTTTCTGTATTTTAGGCCGAGCAATTAATTTAACCCACGAGGTAGGAATTGATTCCATTCTGTAAAATGATGAAACAGGACTCCAGAACATAAGTGACTCACTCAATGCCACAAACTAGCCGGGTGGGAAGCTAGGATCTTCAACTTGGGTCCATGTATCCAATATCCATCATTATCTACTATGTTGCAGTGCTTCCTGAAGGACAGTAGGTAGCAAATTATTTTATGTTTAAAATGACTGATGTGACCTTTTTCTCCTAGAAAAGTAACCTACTTATTAAAAATACCTCACCATGAAGATCTATGATGGAAAACATTTCCTACCTGAAAATTTATTATTTCCCTATAGTCAGTTTTTTATTGATTGCTTTGAGAACCTAAGTCAAAGATAGAAGGGAAAATTATAATCATAATTCTAAAATGATTCAGAGGGCTGATTAAGCATGTGTGGAAAGAACCTGTGAGTTTCTTAGGATCAAACTCTTCTAAACTAAGAATAATTCAGTATCATTTTTTAACATTTATTTAAATGTCACCTGCTCAGAGAGATACCTGCTGATTGTACTACATACAACTATGTGGCACTGACATCCCAGATACTTCTTTTCTCCTTTCCCATTTCATTTTTTCTTCCTTAGTTCTTCCATTTAAGATAGCATATATTTTATCTTATTATGTGTTTTCTCCCTGCTAGAATATAAGCTTGGTAAGGGCAGAAAATTTTATTTTTTTCACTACTGAATCCTCAGAACCAAGATGACTCAGTCCGTGGTCCATAGTAGGTTCTTCACAAATACTTGTAGGGATGAAAGGAAGGAGGAGATTAGAGCCAAGAAAGAGAAAAGAAGAAAAAGCATTCGTTGGCATTTTAAAGTATACAATGGTGAAATACTATTTGAAGAATGACCTAATATTTATTTGTAGCAAATAGAAGTGAATGTAACTTTTAAATGAATTGCTACCTTTAACAGGAAGAAATATAGCATTTTATAGTAAAGAATGCTATACAACTTAAGTAAAGAATAATATTTCTATTACAGTCTTGCTCTTATCCTAGATATAATCTGAAGGGACAGAACAATTCCACAAAGTTCAAGCTGACAATTTCAAAAATTAAAGAAATGCTAGGTTGGAAAATTATAGGGATTCCTCAGGTAATCTACAATGAAGTTAAGCATGGTTTTCAATAGGTAATAATGATAAAGGCAAGTTTCCCCAGAAAATGTGTCTCTCTGTATAATAATATAGTATATTATTGAAATAGTGCTATCAATTGGGAAGAAAAAGACTTTTTTCTTTTAAAGGAAGCAGGTATAGAGTCACTTTGCCATATGAGAAAATATATTTCAGCATGATTTTTAAAGTTTTTTTTTTATTAAAGATTCTGACCTCAGAATGCGGAATAAATTTTTAAGCATGAAAGCAATGAATTAAAAATCAAAGATCAAAGACATGTACGGATACATTTAAACAACTAAATTAAAAAATTTTTACATTAACATAATAAACAACACAAAAGCAAATGACAATACTAAGAATAAGCATTAGGAATAAATGACAAAGGAAAGCATTAAGAATAAACTTATAACAACATTAAGAATAAGCATTAAGAATAAACATGACAAAGGAAAATATCTTTGTATATAAAGCTCATAAAGCAATAAAAAGAATAATACTCAAATTTAAAAACTGGACAAAAGATAATGGCAATTAGTTTTAAAAAAACAAGCTGGGTACAGTAGCACATGCCAGGAATTTGGGAGGCTGAACTAGGAGGATCTTTTGAGCCCAGGAGTTTGAGACCAGCCTGGGCAAAATAGGGAGACACAGTCTTAAAACAAACAAACAAAAAAATAAAAGCAAAAAAGAAATTATCTCCATTAATGATTATTTTTAAAGGAAAATTGCCTATTAAATTGACATATTAGGTTCTGGGCATGGTGAAAGAAGATCCTAGGCACTGCTAATGGCAGTGAAAATTAAGTTAGCCTTTCTGAAGAGTAATTTAACTTCATGCAAAAAACAAACTCAGCAAAAATTCATGAAAAAGAAAACGGTCCGAGTCCCTAGGTGTTGACCTCATTTGGAAGTATACAGAAGGGAACAGAGAGAAAGGTCTCTGCTCTCATGAAGCTTTCATTTTAGTCAGGTAAATGAAGATGGTTTCATAGAGAGGTCAAAGTTACTGATGAAATGAAAGCCAATGTAACAGACAATGACTGTGGGAAGGAATGGATGATGCTGCTTTCATTTTAGTCAGGTAAATGAAGATGGTTTCATAGAGAGATCAAAGCTACTAATGAAATGAAAGCCAATGTAATAGACAATGACTGTGGGAAGGAATGGATGATGCTGCTTTAGACTGAGAGGCCCTCTTTCAGGAGGTGACTATTCTCTTGTTCATTTATTTGTGAAGTGCCTTCTATGTGTTGGGCACTGTTCTAGGCACTGAGGCTTCTTGATACAAACAGGCAAAAATTCCAGCTCTCATGAAACTCATACTCAATAGGGAAGCCACAGATAAGCCATAATCATGAAAAAATCATAATGTGTTAGATTCTAATCTTTTAACCCTGGACTTCAAACTTTTTGGCACCTGGCTTCGTGGGAGACAATTTTTCCACAAACAGTGGGAGGGATGGTTTTGGGATGAAAACTGTTCCATCTCAGATCATCAGGCACTAGATTATCATAAGGAGCAGGCATCCTAGATCCTTGGCATGTGCAATTCACATTCCTATGAGAATCTAATGCTGCCACTGATCTAACAAGAGGCAGAGCTCAGGTGGTAATGCTTGCCAGTTGTTCACCTCCTGCTGTGTGGCCTAGTTCCTAACAGGCCATGAGTTGGTAGTGGTCTGCGGCCCGGGGGTTGGGGACCCATGTGTTAGAAGATAATAAGTGCTCTAAGAAAAGGGAACTGAGAAGTCTGGAGGCAGGGGCGTGATACAACTTACATCAGTCAAGGTTGGTCTCATTAAGAAGGTGACATTCCATCAAGAATTGAAGGACATGAGGCACAAGGATGAGAAGGAGCTCTTCAAAGTGCTGGGAATAGACAATGGCCCCGAGGTAAGAATGAGAGGTATTGGGAACCCATGAGCTGATGGAGAGGCAGTCTTCCAGGGAGTGTGAATTTTATTCTAGCTGCAAGAAGCCCTGGAGCAGTTGTAATCAAAGGGGATGGAGGAGGTGATCTGATTCTAGGGGGAAAATGTGCCAAGCAGTTAGGCTAATTAATTGTGTCACTGTAGTCTAAATTAGGTTGTAATCATAAAGAAAGATTCTTTAAGCAAACATTTTTGCTTTCTAACCCAGTGATTTAATCTCTCAGAGTTTATCCTAAGAAAACAACCCCACCCTCAGAGCAGTTTCTCTGACCTCTATGCACTTCAGAATCAAGCATAAATATATACCACACACATGGACAATGACATACACAAATTTATTTTCTTTCCAGATTTCCCCATTAACCAAATTATTTCAATCACCTCCCACATCCCTCCTTACTGCAAGCCAAAAAGCTTTCATTACACCTGTGCAAACAGGAGGAAGCAAGTTTGTTCTGTTGAACAAAAAGAGGTTTCTCTGTACATGAAATTAAAAATGAGGGCTGGCATGTTTTCACCAAATCTTTTCAATCCTGCCACTTTAAAAGCCTTTAATGTATTTTGCTTTATTTTTTCATTCACCTTCCTCCCCTGCTCTATTTTTAACCATCTTCTGACTTGCTCTTTTACAATATATATTCTTCCAGCATTCTGGCATGGTTCCACTATGTTTGAAGAAGTTGAGCCCTCTTGCCTTTTTCCCCCCTCCCTACACACACACACACACACACACACACACACACACACACACACACTCAACCTTAAGTATATTCGCTTTCTCAATTCAAAGTACTTGAAAATGTTAAGGATTTTTTTTTTCTAATTCTGTGAAGAAAGCCGATGGTAGCTTGATGGGGATAGCATTGAATCTATAAATTACTTTGGGCAGTATGGCCATTTTCACAATATTGTTGCTTTCTATCCATGACCATGGAATGTTTTTCCACTTGTTTGTGTCCTCTCTCATTTCCTTGAGCAGTGGTTTGTAGTTCTCCTTGAAGAGGTCCTTCACATCCCTTGTAACTTGTATTCCTAGGTATTTTATTATCTTTATAGCAATTGTGAATGGGAGTTCACTCATGATTTGGCTGTTATATTGGTGTATAGAAATGCTTTTGAAAAATAAGCCTGTATAGCCAAGACAATCCTAAGCAAAAGGAACAAAGCTGGAGGCATCACACTACCTGATTTCAAACTATACTGCAAGGCTACAGTAACCAAAACAGCATGGTACTGGTACCAAAACAGATATATAGACCAATGGAAGAGAACAGAGGCCTCAGAAATAATGCCACACATCTACAACCATCTGATCTTTGACAAACCTGACAAAAACAAGCAATGAGGAAAGGATTCCCTATTTAATAAATGGTGCTGGGAAAACTGGCTAGCCATATGCAGAAAACTGAAACTGGACCCCTTCCTCCTTACATCTTATACAAAAATTAACGCAAGATGGATTAAAGACTTAAACGTAAGACCTAAAACCCTAAAAACCCTAGAAGAAAACCTAGGCAATACCATTCAGAACATAGGCATGGGCAAAGACTTCATGACTGAAACACCAAAAGCAATGGCAACAAAAGTCAAAATTGACAAATAGGATCTAATTAAACTAAAGAGCTTCCGTACAGCAAAAGAAACTCATCAGAGTGAACAGGCAACCTACAGAATGGGAGAAAATTTTTGCAATCTACCCATCTGACAAAGGGCTAATATCCAGAATCTACAAGGAACTTAAACAAATTCACAAGAAAAAAATAAATAATCCCATCAAAAAGTGGGCAAAGGATATGAACAGACATTTCTCAAAAGAAGACATTTATGTGGCCAACAAACATTTGAAAAAAAGCTCAACATCGCTAGTCATTAGAGAAATGCAAATTAAAACCACAATAAGATACCATCTCACTCCAGTTAGAATGGCGATTATTAAAAAGTCAGGAAACAACAGATGCTGGAGAGGATGTGGAAAAATAGAAATGCTTTTACACTGTTGGTAGGAGTGTAAATTCGTTCAACCATTGTAGAATACAGTGTCGCGATTCCTCAAGGATCTAGAACCAGAAATACCTTTTGACCCAGCGATCCCATTCCTGGGTATATACCCAAAGGATTATAAATCATTCTGCTATAAAGACACATGCACATGTATGTTTATTGCAGCACTCTTCACAATAGCAAACACTTGGAATCAACCCAAATGCCCATCAATGATAGACTGGTTAAAGAAAATGTGGCACATATACACCATGTTATACTATACAGCCATAAAAAAGGATAAGTTTATGTCCTTTACAGGGACATGGATGAAGCCGGAAACCATAATTCTCAGCAAGCTAACACAAGAACAGAAAACCAAACACCGCATGTTCTCACTCATAAGTGGGAGTTGAACAACGAGAACACATGGACACAGGGAGGGGAACATCACACACTGGGGCCTGTTGGGGGGTGGGGGGCTAGGGGAGGGATAGCACTAGGAGAAGTAACTAATGTAGATGACAGGCTTATAGTTGCAGCAAACCACCACGGCACGTGTATACCTTTGTAACAAACCTGCATGTTCTGCACATGTAACCCAGAACTTAAAGTATAATCATAATAATAATAATAATAATAAAGAAAATGTTAAGTGTGTTTACAAGGGAAAAAGCATTCCTATTACATGGATCAACATTTTGGTAACATTATTACCAAGTCAGACTCATTCCTGATCATAAGCTGCCTACATGGACCAAGACTCCTAGCACGAAGTTTATATGCCAGGAAGGATTACCTGCCGTCTTTCTCTTACTGTGTCTTTCTTCATAAATAATTAGAACTGAGTCTTGACACACAGGAGACCCCAGGAGTGACAGATACTCAATGGTAAATTTTGCCATACTGCTTGCTGAAACTCTGAGCACCCAAGAACATTCCAGTCTTCCTCTATAATCCAGTAGATACCGTGGTGTGGGAAAAAAGCCTCTAGGCTTTTCTAGCTCTGCTTCAGAGCAACAACCTGCAATTCAGAACACACAGACACCAGGGACCAACATAAATAAAGCAAAGAAAAACCAGATTCTATCACAAGACTGAAAAATCTAGGCTTGCAAGGAGAAAATTAAGACTTTGTTACTGTCAGTTACAAATTATTCTGTTAGAAAACCATTCTATTTAATGTGTCTTATTTTCTTGAAATGATATTATAGAGGTAGAATTTAAATCACAATTATTTTGAATCAGTTTTAAATGAATTTTTAAAGTTTCTTAGAAAATAGACAGTAGGTTGCATTCTCTATACCCAGCAGATTTTCATTTTCTTCCTCCTTTGAGATGCAGCTGAAGACCTGTTCCTCAAAGCTTCACTAAATTAGCTGAACTTGCTGGGACAAATGATTACATTCATTTGAGCTTGTGACTGAGGTCATGAAAAAGATAACTTGCTGGATATACTGAGATGTCTCACTTCTTCAGCTTGCTAAGTCCAAGGGCACCTTTGGACCTTTGGGATACCTCCTGCAGTTTGGGTGCCAGTTTTTCCATGGCCCGCTGACTCAGCAATCAGCTTCTCTTATGTCCTCATCAGGGCTTCGTCCTTAACTCTCTCTTCTTCCTTTATGTCTATTCCTTTGACAAAAACTTTCTAAGCAATTAAAAAATGAAATATTCTATATTCATATTTTAATGTATGTGTTAGTGAATACATAATTATGCATGCTCTGCCCTAGAGAAATTAATACTGTACCTGAGGAGGAGGTACGTAAACATGCTTTTATTCACAGTAGAGGTGAAAAGTAGAATAAGGGAAATGAAGTGCTACAAAAACTTAGGATTCTATTCTATTGTTTGGTTCTCTGTCATTTCTTTGTTAGTCCTCTTTTTTTATCTGTACAGCTACAAGAACCAATCAGATATTTAACATTTTGATTTAATAGTAAACTAAATGATTTTTCAGTCTATAATCTTCCCTCGCCTTGCCCTACCATCTGGGAATGGTGTATAAAACAAAAAAAATCAAATTGTTTTCCTGCTGAAAGCAACTGAAGTAGTTCAGCTTGCAAGATCTTTCAGAGTCTGGCCTCAGCCTGTCTTTCTAATCTTTTTAGTTTTTCTCCCTCTCTATATGAATCCTCTGTGAAAAATCTGACCAGAAATCACATACAGCCATGAATTACCAACAAGTCAAGACTTTTTATAAATGGGAGTAACAATTGAAAGAAACCATTGCTAAGATTCATTAATTCCCTAGTGTAAAAAGTTAGTAGCGGGAGTGGGTGGGTGTTAAATATGGCATGGTCCTAACATTTTGTCTCCGAAAATAATCATAGAATAAAAACAAAGCAACACCTTTCCGTATATAAAACTTTCAAAGTTTTTGGCGTGCATAACCATTTCTGAACATATTTAAAAGAGAAACATTTTCTTTACATTTTAACAATGTTCATTTTCTAATGGTCTGAATAAGGTCATTCAAAAAATACATTAGATGGCACTGTCACCACCATTTATGGACCCTTATCTCAGGTCAGACCCTTCCTGTTATAAATGCCTTACATGGATTAACCTATTTAGGCACTCACTGAATTCATTCATTTAACTCAGTCCATTGAAATCAATAGTTTATAGGATCTTGGACCCAAGTCTGCTCTCTGTCTCAATCCCAAGTCCAGATTTACTTTTAACCTAACTCTATGTATCCCCAGCTTTGACTCTTTGACTCATGTTGCCAGACAAATGGTCCTGGGTCCACTCCTTATTCCTGGAAGATTTTAGCGGTCATTTTCTCCAACACTTTTCCTGTCATAATTCTTTCTGAATTCAATCACTATATACATGATGATTCCAGCACTGAAGTTTCCCAGCTCCTCAATTTTCCTCCAGTGATCTTGTATTCCACCTGACCTCAGCCACTTATCCTTATGGTCAGCCCCTAGACACTTGATCAGTAGCAATAACTCCAAGCCTTCTGTAATCTCGGTTTCAGGAACCATTTTCTCCAACCACAACCTTCCATCTTTTCAGCCTCCCTTAATACTCCTTCCACCTTTTGGGACTCATAATTTATCTATCCTACCTTATTTTTGTCCCAAACAAATCTCTCATCCTTATTTCACTCCTTACCCATCCTAAATTCCAATGATCCATCATTTTAACCACTTTTTCACATACACTCTGAATTCCCTTATACCCTTCACATACTTGGGGATACTCCACTTTGATTAAGTCTACCCTCTACCTACTCTGCATCTACCTCAGTGCATCCAGAGGAAAACATACAACTAAGCTAACTGGGGGCATTTTGCTCTCTCAATTTATGATCATTCATCTCAGGGGGCCTTTATGCTACCCAGCAATCCTACTATATCTTTCTAGTTCACTATGTCATTTTCTCGAGAAATATGTCATCCTTTTTTCTCTTAAAAATCAAACTTTCTTGAACAACCGCTTCTTTTTGTTCATCTGCTAAGAAAAAGAAGCCATCAGAAGAGAAATTCCACAGGCTCCGATCTCCATCTATTCCCAAACACCTCATACCTGCACCGGTGCCTCAAGATCCTGCCTTCCATCAGTTAACTATAGATGATATGTACTTTGCTCCTAAGACCATCGCCTCCTTTTGGGTACTAGATCTCATCTTCTTTCTTCTACTCAAAGTCATCACTCTTGCAATTCTACCTTCTATATCTTACATTTTCTTTAAACTCTTACTAGTTGTTTACTGGGGTTGAATGTATTGGGGAAGATGTGGGCAACAAAAGAAAGACTGACCATTTGGAAACCAAGAGTGATAATAAAATAGAACTTCCATCTTCCTACAAGTCTATTAGAGATTTCAAATCCTCCATTGCTGTTAGTTTTGACTAAAAATCAAAATCCTCTTTTATCAAACAGAGAGTGGCAACTGTGGAAGAATGAAGAGAAATACTAATGCTGGCGCTAGTCTTGGTCATCTCATACCCAGGGTCTTTACCTAGGCAAGATACTTGCATATAGAAGGACTTTTATTCAGATTCAGAGCTTAAAATAATTCTATGTAATTCTCCAATATTCAAGCACTGGTTCACAACCACAAGATTTTTTTAAAAATCTGCAACAGGTCTAGCTTTGGGGTAGGAATGATCTCCAACAATCTTAATAACAACTCTCCCCACTTTCAGCTAAAACTACCAACCAGAAGGAAAACACAGAGGTTATAGTGTTCCATAGAAAATTTAGCAAAGCTAGACAGACAATGCTTCTTGCCAAATTCTGGCTGAAAGTATTAATGGGATAATGTAAACATTTATTACCTGGCCAAGATGCACTGTCTGGTGAAGGTGTGGGTGGTGGCAATTGTTGTTTTAAGGTTTTGCATTTATTATTTGTCTGAAGTGAAGCAGGACCTGTATTTGGGGAGAACATGTTAAAAATAAAGATGAAAGCCTGAGAACAAAATATAGTGGGCACTAAAGCAGCCACTATCAAAAGAAACAAAAAAGAAACAAATCCAGGATTAAAGCAGCCTAAGGAAAAGTCAGTTTAACTCTACACATGGGAGAACTTATTTTGCAGAATCTTGCATTTTAGTGTGTTTAGTAACTAAATGAAATTCTACTCTATGGTTTTCTCTTTCATGCTAATTTATACCACACTCACTGTTCCCAAACCCACTCTAAAGAAAGAGGTTATTGTTTTAATAACATTTGAAAACAATTTACCATTGATTTTTGATTGGATCCAGTCCAAGAAGATCATCACTCTGGCAAATACACCCGGCTTCCATGGCTGGACACAGCCAGCTCCCCAGCTGACAATGCCATAGAGGACAAAGGGACCATTTTCATGTCTACATACTAGTGGCCCACCAGAGTCTCCCTGAAACACCAAGAAAACATGTTTTAGAAAACTGCTTTAATCTGAAGCTCCTGCTTTCAGTTTTTAGAACAAGAATGACCAATAATGTATTTGTAATGTGTTTAATTCCTTAAAGATTTGTTTTGTCAATTTCCATCTTTACATACTATCTATTCACTGTTTTGCAAAAGGAAACAAAATTTATGAACAATCAGATGGTAATTTGATTCCAGGGTGAAGATAAAGCTTAGTTCACATAAAAAGAAAACAATTACATTACTAAATCTTCCCAGCCCCATCGGAGGGAGATAGTCTTTAAATTATATCAATTAGTAAAACTGTAATATTTAAGATTTCAAGCATCTTTTTAAAACAAAAATTTAATCAGAAAACTGCACAGTGGCTCAGATGGATCCATCACAAGAAATGTGCTGCCTGTTTTTTTCTTTTTTTAAATTTTTTTAAGGAAATCGGGTTAGGGTCATTGGGTGGTAACCTCTATATGTAGTGTTTTCCCTATCACTGGTCACTCTTGACACAATCTAATCAGATCAAAGAGTAGAGTTATGACATACACAGAGAAATTAGGGTGTTGGTGGTGAGGTGAAGAAAAGTTAAAGGCTGACTTAAATCTATTAAAATGTATTCATTCTAATTCTAGTATTCCAATTTTATTTTGGCTTACCTGCAGATACCAAAGTTGCACAATTTCAAAGACTTTAAGGGCCAAACTAATTTAACTTACTAGGATATTAGATGTGAAAAGTTACAATTAGAGAAATAAGTGACCTGTCCCATTTCACACACATAGGTAGTAGCAGCAGTAAAATCTGAGTCCATGTCACCTGCCAAAGTTCAGTGCTCTTTCCCTTCCACCAAACTGATAAATGTTCATTAATGGACCTACCTTAAACTGCTCTAGTATCTGGCTTACATAATTATTGAATTCAAGGAAAGACACATGGAAATTTAACTTATAGTTAATTTTTTGTACTCTCTTAGATATGGCTAATTTGGTCATGATGAAACACATTTCAAAAGGCAAAAATACTACCCACAAGCACTAAGAAGCTCTCGTAGATGGAAGCGTCTCTCTTGAATATTTCTCTCAATATTTGCATTGTTTAAATTGACAAATTATAAGCAGAAAGAGATTTTGAAGAAAACAAACAGTGGTATTGTTATTAAGGGAACCAAAATATGTACATCACACACATTTATCTATTAATTAGCACTAACATCTTCTACATGTCTCTTGAGGTTCAATGTGAAAATCAATGGCAGCACCAAATACATGCCCTTGTTTATGTCTGTATTTACAACATGTGCCCCATTTGAGGGTAAGCACTGCATCTGATTCAACTTTGTACCCTAGGAAACCTACCACAATATCCAGCACTAACACATGCTAAATAAATGTTTGCCTAATTTACGGTGAAATTTTATAAACCAGTTGTATCAAACCAAGCCTTAATACATAGGATTTTCATCGTTTTAGGTTAGGCTTTCCAATTTTTAATCAGGTCTTTTGCAGGAAGTGGATGAACACAAATGTATTTAGGACCAAACTAAGTCCTTTATTTGTCTTCTTGTAAGATAAATTGTGTACATATTTGATAGCACATAAATTGCTGGTACATATTTGAAATATCTACTTTATATAAAGAATTTAACAGAAGAAACCTTAAGTAGGGAAAAAAGAGATACAGTTGCTAGTCTGTAATGTAGAACAATTAACCTTTCCTCTGGGCCTAATTTTTTCACATAACAATTATACTTAAAACCCTCTTCCAGTTGTTTCCAGTTGGACAATGGTCTGATGTATCCAGTCAAGTGTTTTATTTTAAATCATTGATTTTTTTCAGTACCAATGCATAGCCAATACATCATTTTTCAGGCAATTACAAACATTCCATGATACAGGGAACCTGTTCAATTTATCTCTTTTTGCCAGTGCCTATCATATGGTCCAGTCCATAGTAAATATTCAGCAAACAAATGAATTTTTTTTTTTTTTTTTTTTTTTTTTTTTTTGGTGAGACAGAGTCTTGCTCTGTCTCCCAGGCTGGAGTGCAGTGGTGTGATCTCGGCTCACTGCAAGCCCCGCCTCCTGGTTTCAAGCGATTTTCCTGCCTTAGCCTCCCGAGTAGCTGGGACTACAGACGCGCACCGTCAAGCCCGGCTAATTTTTTGTATTTTTAGTAGAGACAGGGTTTCACCATGTTGGCCAGGATGGTCTCGATCTGCTGACCTCATGATCCGCCTGCCTTGGCCTCCCAAAGTGCTGGGATTACAGGTGTGAGCCACTGCACCTGGCCACAAATGAATATTTTTTATTAAAAAATTATTCAATGCCTACTGTGAGCCAGACATACCGAGTAAGACAGAGTATAAACAAATAAGATGCTAATAGTAGCTATAAAGGAAATACTCAGAGTGAATAGTAAAGAATAAAGGTAGTTATATGTTTGCTTACATGTGCATGTATGTGTATACAGTTTCAATAACATTTGAGCTGATGCATAAAGGATGAGAAGGAGCCAGCTTTCCAAAAACCTGGAGGAACAACATTTTATGCAAAAGATATATCTGGGCTTAGGCTCTAAGGCAAGATATGGTCAGTTGGAAGGCTAGAAGGCAAATCAATGTGGCTGAGGACATATATTATTCTGTGAAGATAGAGATCTATGACTTTGTAGATGAAAAGAAGTTAGAAAAAATACCAATGACATTTTTCACAGAAATAGAAAAATAATCATAAAATGTATATGGAACCACAAAAGACTCAGAACAGCCAAGCAATCCTGAGCAAAAAGAACAGAATTGGAATGATCACATTACCTGACTTCGAATTATATTACAAAGCTATAGTAACCAAAACAGCACAGTACTGGCATAAAAACAGACTCATAGAACAATGGAACAGAATAGAAAACCCAGAAAAAAAATCCATACATCTACATTGAACTCATTTTTGACAAAGGTGCAAAAAAAAAAATACATTGGGGAAAGGACAGTCACTTTGATAAATGGTGCTGGGAAAATTGGATGTCCTTAATACAGAAGAATGAAAGTAGTTCCCTATTCCTCACCATTTGCAAAAGTCAAATCAAAATGGATTAAAGACTCAAATCTAAGACCTCAAACTATAAAATTAATAAAAAACAACATTGAGGAAACTTTCCAGGATTCTGGACTGGACAAAGATTTCTTTAGTAATACCCCACAAGCTCAGGTAACCAAAGCAAAAATGGACACATAAGATCATATCATGTTAAAAATCTTCTGCACTGCAAAGGAAACAAAGCCAAGAGACAACTCACAGAATGGGAAAAATTTCTGCAAACTACCCATCTGATGTGAGATTAATAACCAGAATATTTAAGGAGCTCAAATAACTCTATAGAAAAAATCTAATAATCTGATTTTAAAAATGGACAAAAGATCTGAATAGATATTTCTCAAAAGAAGACATACAAATGGCAAACAGGTATATGAAAAGGTGCTCAACATCATTGATCAGAGAAATGCAAATCAAAACTACAATGAGATATCATCTCACCCTAGTTAAAATGGCTTTTATCCAAAAGACAGGCAATAACAAATGCTTATAGGGAGGTGGAGAAAAAGGGAACCCATGTACATTATTGATGAGAATATCAATTAGTACAACCACTATACAGAATAGTGTGGACATTCCTCAAAAAAATAATACAAATACCATTGATCTAGCAATCCCACTCCTAGGTATACATCCAAAAGAAAGGAAATCAAGATATTGAAAAGTTATCTGCACTCCCATGTCTATTGCAACACTATTCACAATGACCAAGATTTGGAAGCAGCCTAAGTATCCATCAACAGATGAATGGATAAAGAAAATGTGGTTCATATACACAATGGAGTACTACTCAGCCATACAAAAGACTGAGATCCTACCATTTGCAACAATGTGTATGGAGCTGGAGGTCATTATGTGAAGTTAAATAAGCCAGGCACAGAAAGACAAACTTCACCTGTTCTCATTTATTTGTAGGAGCTAAAAATCAAAACAACATAACTCATGGGGATAGAGTATAGAAGGATGATTACCAGAGGCTGGGAAGTGTAGTGGGTGAGTATAGGGGAAGTGGGAATAATTAATGGGTACAAAAAAATAGAATGAAAAAAATAGTATTTGATAGCACAACAGGGTAACTACAGTCAATAATAATTTAATTCTGCATTTAAAAATCACTAAAACGATATGATTGGATTGTTTGTAACACAAATTATAAATGCTTGAAGTGATGTGTATACCCAATTTACCCTGATGTGATTATTCCTTGTATCCCTGTATCAAAATCTCATGTCCCCCATAAATATATATGCCTACTATATACCCACAAAATTAAAAATTAAAAAAGAACTTAGAATAAAAAATCTGAAAGCCAGTTAGCAAAGAATAACAGGATACTACGTTGCGTATCTGAAAACCCCATGTCTCTGCATTCCAATATTATTATTCCCACCTTCCTGGATGAGAAAGCACATTATCAGGTCTATTACCTCTAAGTATACACAGGAGAATAAAAATCAATTACCTGATAGAAGTATTAGAGACTATTTTATCAAAGCAAGTTTCTAAAGTCACCCTTCTAGTAACTCAGTGTTCTTTGTAATAGAAAGCTAGCCATATTTATTAAAATCTCAACTTCCAGTTTTCCTCCCATATATGGGCAGTACATTTGGTCATGCTGCAGCCAAAGTGACAGTTGTATATAACTGAAAAGATAAGTGCCAACTGAGATCATGATATTTAGGTCACCTGTGACATGGATCTTTCTAAGACCCTCTCTAGTTCTTTTCTTTCCGCACAAAATAAGCTCACCTTGTAATGTTAGATGCTGTCAAATATGTAAAAGACAACATAATTAGTTGTGATTTTCTTGTTGAAGAAAGAAAAGCCATCCCTCAAATCCTACAATAGACTGAGGGGAAGAATGAACACATTAATTCAGAGTACTTTTGTGATTTTTATCAGATAACATTTATGTACTCTAGCAGACAGCAGGAGTGCACTTTCCGTATTCCTCACATCTTCCAGCCCATGTCCTGGCTCTGTGCCTGGGGTCTTCCCCACTCTCCACTACACCCAGGAGGCAACCCTAAAGTATCGGAAATGCTGAGGGATTAACAGCCATTTCCCACAGCAGCCCTCAAACTATGGCTCAAGGGAAAGTAGTACATAAATATCCCAGCTCCCTCGCTCCTCAGATGGATAAATTCACCACGTGTATTTAGCATCACTGCCCTGAGTTTCCTGCAGGATTAAGCATTAGGCCCTCACTATGGCAGATGGCTTAATAATGCATCCTAGATTGGCTGCCTTCCCTTCCCTGTACCATCTCCTCCCTTTCCTACTGGTGATATCTATGATTCCTAAAACAGACCATTGTACCAGAATCCTTATCTCAGGGTCTGCTTCTGGGGAATGCAAATAAAGATATGCAAAATTCAAACAGAATTTAAGCAAGGCTTGACATTATAAAAGGAAGGCGTTAATGACAATAAACTTATATTCAGTGTTAAAGGGGACTTCATTGCCTCTCTCATATTTTCACATGGAAGGACGTCCACCTAGATTAATGCCCAGTTGTGTCTCCCTCATGGAGGTGAAATCTATTGCTGCATGTTTCTTGACTGAGTGGTGGGGAAAACTATCAAAGAGCTGCAGAAACAAGATTCATTCTTTCTTTCCTCTCTACACCAGACCAGCAGGAGTGATAAGTCTGGAGAATTTGGGCTCCCCTATGGACCCAAACTTTCCCTTACTTGGGTAGCCCCACATCCAAACCAGGGATTGGAGGTAGGCACACGGAGTGTTAGGAAGTCTTAGGTTGTATGTATATCTAAAGTCACATTCTTCCATTGACTTTGTGAAGGTTAAAGCTGGCATTCTACAATCTGTTTATTCATATTCTGTCTTTTTCTTGGTTAATTATGATCTTGCCAATATCAAGCTTGTACAATAGACATCTTTGTGATTATTTTAACTTGTGGAAAATTAAGTGAGAGTACAGAGATTAATGATAATTTAAAACAATAAAACTTTTAAGTCATAAGTAGGACACATAAGTTTAGAACCTTTCTTTGTTATTCCTTTTCCCAAAGCCTTATTTGTACCTGAACACATCTTCCCTTGCTCAGGCCTGCTTAGAAGCTCTGCCATTTCCTGCCTTCTCACCAGCTCCTCTATGAACCCACCGGCCTTTGTCGCTGTACAGCTGCTTCCGGCCACTCTCTGACATCTCAGCAAATTCGGATTAATTAACTTATTACTTCTGTTGCCCCACTGGTCTTCATGCAGGGATATGATATTGAAGCACGTGACAAGTTGGTGATTTCAGCAATGGTTTCTCCTGTCTATAGAAACTCTTCAGCAGATGGCAATTTTCCACCTTCCTGTATAAAACCAGAATCCTCTCACCTGGCAGAAATCTTTCTCTCCAGATGCTGCAAAGCCAGCACAGATCATCTTCTCTGTGATCCCTCCTGGATGGGCAGAATAGTAAGTGTGTTCACAGACCTCTCTTTCTAACACATGCACTTGAATCTGCTGTAGGCGACTTGCTAGGCCACCATCTAATGAAGAAACATTCAGAGAGAGCTCGATGATGAAGTAAGCAGAAAGTGTTGTTAGAAATGTATTTAAGTTCAGATGTAGCTCTGTACCAACATAGCTGAAGTCATTCAGTTTGGCCTGAGCTGATGTAGAATTCTGAATTTAAAAAATACAAGTGTTTCATGTAACATGTCTTCATTTCCCAATTTGGCATTTTTGTAAAGAGAGGCCACTGGCAGGAGAATAAAACCAGAAACACTTTTTTTCTAGCTTATTTTCAATTTAAATGTTAGTGTATCAAATATTTCTGCATAAGAATTCAGGAAGAAAAATTCAGCATGATATGAATTGGTGTCACATATAACTTATACAATTATAAATATATATGGTTATATATTTATATACATAAATATATAATTGCTTACAAATAATATGCTTATATGATTTCCTAATATAAACAAAAATCATAATCCTGTTCTTCATCTACTGTCATTGAAGCCTAATCGCATCTCCAATTAAAGATAACACTGAATAATTTATTTTCATATTTGATCCTTAGGCAGGCCTGTGTTAACATGTATTTTGCATGACTCATCCTATCATTTTAGATTTATGACCAATTTTTTTAAGTTTAATATTTTATAGCCCTATACCTTTTGGGGCAATATTAATAACAAGTACTTTACATTTATATAGTATCTTAATATTTGTAAAGAGTTTTATTCCAACCTAATAATACAACAACATTTTTCATATGTGAGATCAGGTTAATCACACTGATCTCACATATGAAAAAGCCAGACCTCTGAAAATTTGATCTCACAGCTCTTACGGGACAGAACTAGGATCAAGCCTAAGTTCAACTCTAAATCTTGCATTCTTCTTAATATACTAAAACTCCTCTTCTTGGGGACCATCTCCCTTAGTGTTACTGACCATATCCCAGAAATCAAGATTCATTTCCTCTCCTAGCTGGAAAGAATGAATTCGTCTTTTATAAGACTACCTCTCAGTTGCCTGGTAGTCATGGAATTGGTAAAAGTCAAAGGTATTAGAGAGCAGGCACATTTATTCAAGGGCTTTGAAGCTGGTAAGCCAAGAAATATTTACTGAATGCCATGTATGCTTCTAGCCTTGGGGAGAGAGGAGTCAAGACAGATCTGCCTCCAAGAGGTTCTCAGTCTAGTGGGTTAGATGTAGAAGATGACTGCATAAAATCATGCCAACTACATTAACATGCAGTGAGAGGATAAAACCAGGTAGTGCGGAATGTGATGGGAGGCCCGTCCTGCTGCAGCAATGTGGGCCACGAAAGGAAGTGATATTTTGGTTGAAAATGCAATAATGAGCAGGCAGCTGTGACAAGATTGTAATAAGAGTGTTCCAAGTAGGAGGACACAAAATGGGGAACTTCAGAAAGCAGAGCAAGCTTGGTGTTTAAGAGAAAGAAGAAAGGCCACGGTATCTGAAGGTTAACCACAAGAAAAATAGAGGGAAATTATGTGGAAGAGGTTAAGTGGGGAGGCCCAATCACACAGAGCTTTCCAAGCTAGGCTAAGAAGTTCAGATTTGATTGTATGTGTAATGAGAAGCCATTAAGATTATAAGCTGAGCCACACTGATCTTAAATCCTCAATTTGATATTTATTAGTTATGGGATCTCAGCAAGTTACTTAAATCTTTGGGTTACAACCTCTCCATTTGTAAAATGGGGATGATAAAAGCTCCTCATGTGTTGGGTGTGAAGATTTTTACGAAAGTGCAATTTGGCTTCAGGTAGCACAGTAAGCTGTCAATATCAACACTGTAAGCAGTCAAATATAAATTCCCTCCTCCTTCAAGCTCACAGATTCCAAATAAATGACATATAGAAAGGAAATATACAAAGAAAATGATCTTGTATGGTATAAGAAGCACAAAACAAATATCAACCCATTCAGATCTTTCACTGTTTTACTAAGCCTTTAAGAGTTCTATACCATAGCCAGGGGTGAGCACATGACAGCCAGTGGATAAATTCTGTGCCACCCCCAAACACGGGCACAAGCCATTAAATAAGAATGGTTTGTACATTTTTAGGTGGTTGAAGAAAATCCAAAGAATGATATTTCATGACACGTGCACATTAAATGAAATTTAAATTTTATAAATTAAGTTCTGTTGGAACCCATTCTGTTACATAATGCCAATGGCTGCTTTATGCTATAACAGTAGACTTAAATAGTTGTGATAGAGACCAGATGACCTGCAAAGCCTAAAAGGATTATTATCTGGCCCATTACAGTAAAGGTTTGTTGACTGCTCATCTAGCCTACTTATAATCTAAGTTACCCTGAAGGAAAAGTTTTAAATAGCTCATTCTCTATTTACTTGCTGATCTGTTACAGCTAAATAAAACATGGTTTCTATCTTTTAGAAAGAAGAGGGGCTGAAGCGGATGCTGCTTGATATCATTTACATGACCTATTTTCAAAAATAACAACTGGCATTAATGTTTATGCAACAAAAATATGCTTACCTGCACTGATGCTTCCCCATCCGGTCACAGCACAGATCTCCGAGGAAAATAGAGGCTCTGCGCTGTGTGGGAGACATACTGGCCTCACCACCGAGTTGTACTCCAGAGGAGAGCTTAGTTGTATTAGGGCAATGTCAGAGTCATAACTTAGTGTGTTAAAGTCTTCATGCACTATTATGTGTTTGGCCCTTCTCACCTGTATCGGTGGCAAGTAAGCAAATTACAACGTAAGAAAGTCAAAGAATCCAGCAACTTCCTTGTTGATGGTCCAAAATAATCCTAAATTTCTGCACTTACATACATAAACAATGCAGAAGACTTTCTATTAAATTTAAAAGAGCAATATTGGTTTACAATTTGCAGGGGGCTATGAACCACCTTCTGGATAAAGGTGGTGCTGGAGAAATAAAGCTTTGAAAACCTGTGTCCATGGGCCTAAATTTGCAATTCTGACCTACTTCCTGCAATTCTCAAGTGAAAATGTAATCTCAAATTGCATTTTTAAATGTGGGTATAAATAATAAGTGTGAAAGGGCCCTAGGAGATTAATAACTAATTACATATTTTAGCTAAAGGTATTCCTTGGCATGTGACAACATTTAGATTACAGGCAGAATGACCTGTAAAAACATTTTTTCACCTGCTCTGTTGATTCCTTCAGGTTTCTGTCATGGTCCCCAGCAATAATAGTCCAGGAGAGTGGATTATTCTTCCTGGAGACAGAAGAACAGTGAAAGTTTGACATGAAAACACATTTGTATTAGTTTGTTCTCACACTGCTATAAAGGACTCTGAGACTATAAAGTCTTTCTGAAGACGTTCTGAGGAAAAGAGGTTTATGAAGAAGAGGTTTAATTGACTTACAATTCTGCATGGCTGGGGAGGCCTCAGGAAACTTACAATCATGGCTGAAGGCAAAGGGGAAGCAAGCACATCTTATCACAGCAAAGCAGAAGAGAGAGAGCAAAGGAAGCCACACACTTTTGAACCATCAGATCTTGCAAGAACTCACTATCAGGTGAACAGGTAGGGAGGGAAACCACCCTACCATCATCTGGCTCTACTAACATGCACTGCTCAGTTCAGCGAGGCAACAGTCCCCTGTCCCATTGCCTCTGCGATCTCCCTCCCAGGGAAGCCACATCATGCCTTCTGATCTATGTGAAAAGGAGCTCTTGATCATGTATCCTGCCCCTTTCTTTTGACCATAAAGTATCATTGGAAACCTTGCCAAATATCACCAAAGGCTTTTTTTAGGTCGAGGAGGAAAAATGAAAATAATTAAAGCTTAATTTCACAGTGATGTTAAGAATATGTTTAAAAAAGACTTGGAACCAACCCAAACATCCATCAATGATAGACTGGATTAAGAAAATGTGGCACACATACACCATGGAATACTACACAGCCATAAAAAAGGATGAGTTCATGTCCTTTGTAGGGACACGGATGAAGCTGGAAACCAACATTCTCAGCAAACTATCGCAAGGGCAAAAAACCAGACACCGCATGTTCTCACTCGTAGGTGGGAATTGAATAATGAGAACACCTAGACACAGGAAGGGGAAGATCACACACCGGGGACTGTTGTGGGGTGGGGGGAGGGGGGAGGGATAGCATTAGGAGATATACCTAATGTAAATGATAAGTTAATGGGTGCAGCACACCAACATGGCACATGTATGCATATGTAACAAACCTGCACGTTGTGCACATGTACCCTAGAACTTAAAGTATAATAAAAAATATATACAAAAAAATCATAAGGAAGAGAAAATACGTTTCTCTTAATACTGTATTTATCTCAGTACTGTATTTATCAATATCTTAAATTTGTTTAATAAATAATAAAAATCTTTGCAAGAAAAAAAGAATATGTTTAAAAAATTATATCTGTGACAAGGTAGCTTCTGGTCTATATTTTACTGTTCAACATTGCCGAATTATGATCTCACTGGGTCATATCTCAGATCGTCATCTTTTGTTAAATCAGAGTTATGAAACTAAAGTTCAAAGGAATTTATCAGTTTAAAAATTGGCAAAACTCAACTATTGCGTTAGAAATCAGAATGCTGATTACTTTTAGGGGAGTGATGACTGGAAGAGGCACAAGGGCGGCTGCTGGGTACTAGTAATGCAGTATTTTGTTTCTTGATCTGGGTGTTGGTTACATGGGTGTTCATTTTGTGAAAAGTTCTGCCTACTTCTGATACACCTCAAAATGATGTTAAGAAGTTTGAATCAATATCCATTAATTTCTCGTATCAAGATCTCCAGCTGAAAAAGTGTCTGAGGAAAGAGTCCCTCTACTGGAACCAATACACTGTCACTTCTACTTGGAGACTAATTCTTCCATTTAATTCTTCCATTTCTTTAAACACTGTTTCTTCAGGAAAAGTAAAGTTACTCAAATTATTTTTCAATATACCTTATTTAAAGGTGAAGATTCTTAATGCATGTAGGCATTTTCTCCACAGTCATAACCATGCTCATTTCAATTCCTTGCATAATGGGTTTGACTTACTCATGTGTTTCAATATGCCTTTATTAACGGAGCTAACTCAAGTGAAGCACTTGGCAAGTACCTGGTAGATGATAATGACTCCATAATGGTAGCCATTATCATTCTTATTATCTGCCATGCACGCTACTGGAAGGATTAAACTTTTTCAAAGTCACCCTCTAAATAATTACTTAGTAGTGAAGAAACTTCTTAAATCTACTCCACATCTTTATATAGAAGAGAGTGTATACAATACAATGAAGTAATAAGAATGATGGTAGAATTGACAATGTAGTCCACAGTTTCTCATGATGTTTTACATGTACAGTCAGCAAATATCCTTCAGTTTAATGGAGAACACTGCACAAACACGACAAAGCCACATGCACTTTATGATACCACAAAGCTTAAGATTTTTCCAATAGTAGGAACATAGCTCAAGGTATCAATTGATGGATTTCTTCACCTTTTCTTCCCCCTCTCCCATATAAAATTTCATTTCTTATAGTCTTAGGATCTTATACCCAACCCAACAGTGGAGCATGTGTCACTTATTGCTATGGAAGAAGAGAGAGCCACCTGACTTTATCACAGAAAGAAAGTCACTGAAGTTTCAGTAGCTGATTTAAATTTTAGACAAAAGATTCACATATATAATTGCAAAGTGAGCTTGGTCTCCAAAAGTAAGATAAAAGTCCCAATGAGCACAAAATCCTGTGTGGAATTAACAAGATGAGAACACCAGATTTTCCTAAGTGTGGAACACCACCATCAGGAAATTCTCAGGCCCCACACCAGACTTAAAGAATCAGAAGCTCTCCAGGTGATTCTGGAGTATGCTGAAGTTTGAGAATTAATACTGGAGTCAACCAGTGCCAGGGAAGCTAAAAGGCAGGGCACGTGTAGGACATAGGGTTTTTGTTACACCAGCGTATGAGCACACTCCTGGTGTAAAGATCCACACACTTCAAGGATTAGATTTAAAAAGACATTTCACTGGTCAAATAACTTAGGCAACTGTGAAGTATTAAAAAATGTGGCACATAGACATTTACCATACCACTATAATTATAAGATATAATGTTATGTGCAAAAAAAGTGATATATACAAGTACTATAAAATATATGCATGTACGTTTAAATATTAGTGGAAAATCAGACAGCTGAAACATTCTTAATATTGATGACTTCTAGAGAAAAATAGTGTGTTAGAGAAATGGAGAGGGTAGTTTAAGCTCTTGCTTGATAACCTTCTCTAACTGCCTTTTTCCCCAAAAGCATTACTATTATAATACATATTTTTAAAGAAATTAAGAAGTCAAAAATGAAATTAAATACAAATTCTTTTTGTGACTAACAAGTGGCTCACAAGCATTTACAGCTGTTTATTAATTTCAATTGATTCATCAAGTGGAATATCTATCTTGGGAAGAATAGGTTTGTTATATTCTGTATCTTGCTGTAAGGCGTCATGGCTCATCACATAAATTTCAGAATAGACCATGTAATTTGAAAAGGGAATCTACCAAAGCTTTTTCTGCGTCTCTGTACTCAATACTAATATTTTCTTTTCTAATACATTAATTTTCACAAATTAATCGGCTACTCTTGAGGCATCTTTTCCATGGTACGTTCAATGCACTTTGATAGAATTCTTATAAAAATAGGTTTTTGTAAGGGAGAGAAGGCCTAGACAGAACCAGGTGGTACTGAATTAGCATTGAAAATATTGTATGAACTCATGTTTAGCTTGATGTAGATACAGATAGATATATTTATATACATGGGTGAGTATACATACCTATATTTTCTAGCTCTGTCAGCTGAGAGGGCCTAGGATCAACAATGTGCTACTAGCAACTACTATACCCAGCATCAGATCATGATTTATCATACCATTCTCCAAAAAAATGAACCAGGGCTCCTTGGAGAAATGGCTGGTGCTAGAACTGAGAAGGAAATACACATGATAGACCTAGAGTATCTTGCAGTGTTACAAAAGGATGAGGGAGTGTCAAAGAGACACAGAAAACAAAGGACTGGTCTCAAGCTCTGAAAGAGCTCACAATGGCCAAAGCTGGAACAATTTGAATGTGGGCTACCTTTACTGACTTGTTTCCCAAAAGTAAGTATGGAAAGGGGGAAAAATGTAACTTTACATTAGAGAAACCTGGTAAACACTATCTCAGCCAGATGGTCAAGGTTAACATCAGTGATAAGTCATGTTGACTGTATGAACCCTTGATATATAATAAGAATAGTATGCTACTTCTGTGGTCTTTCTTCCCCAAATCCATAACCTCAGTAAAACCTTGACAAAAATGTCAGACAAACTAAACTGAGGGACATAGGGATGTTCTACAAAAAAAACAGATGAGGTCTCCTCAAAATGACCAAGGGAAGTCTTAGAAGTTTACAGCCAAGAAGAGCCTGAGGAGACTTGACAACTAAACATAATGAGCTGCCCTGAAGCAGCAACTACAATGACCTTGAGACAGGAACAAGCTCAGCACATCTGAGCAACAGAAAGACCCATGAGGCTGGCCTGCTGGGAGCAAGCAGGGAAATGATCAAGAAGGGGTCAGGAAAGTGGGGCACTGTGGGTCACGCCTGTAATCCCAGCACTTTGGGAAGCCAAGGTGGGAGGATTGCTTGAGTTCAAGAGTTCAAGACCAGTCTGTGCAACATAGCAAGACCCCGTGTCTTAAAAAAAAAAAAGTCGGGCATGGTGGCATGTATCTGTAGTCCCAGCTGCTCAGAAGGTTGAGGTGGGAGGATCCCTTGAGCCCCACAGGTAAGACTAAAGTGAGCTATGATCATGCCACTGCATTCCAGTCTGTGACAGAGAGACTGGTTCTCAAAACAAGATGGGGTCAGGGAGGCAGGGAGTGGTTCTTGACCCTCTGCACATTAGAATCATTTGGGAAGCTTTTCAAAAATATCAATGCCCCAGAACCTACTCACAAGGGATTGCTTTAGTCTGGATCGAAAACAAATTACAGTTATACACAGCCACATGGCTTACTCTACACAAGGTATTACGGAGATGAAGTAAGACACAAGAATATAAACTACAATTGTTACATAAAGATCAAAACCAAGAAAAACCAAATGATATACTGCTTTAGGGATACATATATGTTAAAATCCCCCAAAAGCAATGGTATGAATATAGCATTTAAGAAATTTAGCATAGTATTTTTTTCTCTTTTGATTTTTTAAAAATTTTAAGTTCTGGGATACATGTGCAGAATCTGCAGGTTTGTTATATAGGTATACATCTGCCACAGTGGTTTGCTGCACTTATCAACCTGTCGTCTAGGTTTTAAGCCCCACATGCATTAGGTATTTGTCCTAATGCTCTCCCTCCCCTTGTCTCCCAACCCCTGTGTTTTTCCCCTCCCTGTGTCCATGTGTTCTCATTGTTCAACTCCCACTTATGAGTGAGAACATGCATTGTTTGGTTTTCTGTTCCTGTGTTAGTTCGCTGAGAATGATGGCTTCCAGCTTTATCCATGTCCCTGCAAAGGAGATGATCTCATTCTTTTTTATGATTGCATAGTATTCCATGGTATATATGTGCCACATTTTCTTTAACCAATCTATCATTGATGGGCGTTTGAGTTGGTTCCAAGTCTTTGCTATTGTGAATAGTGCTGCAATAAACATATGTGTGCATGTGTCTTTATAGTAGAATTATTTATAATCTTTTGGGTATATACCCAGTAATGTGATTGCTAGGTCAATTGGTATTTCTGGTTCTAGGTCCTTGAGGAATCGCCACACTGTCTTCCACAATGGTTGAACTAATTTACATTCCCACCAACAGTGTAAAAGCGTTCCTATTTCTCTACATCCACTCCAGCATCTGTTGTTTCCTGACTTTTTAATAATCACCATTCTGATGGGTGTGAGATGGTATCTCATTGTGGTTTTGATTTGCATTTCTCTAATGACCAGTGATATTGAGCTTTTTTTCATATATTTGTTGGCCACATAAATGTCTTTTTTGAGAAGTGTCTGTTCATATCCTTTGCCCACTTTTTGATGGGGTTGTTAGTTTTTTTCCTTGTAAATTTAGCATAGTATTTCTTAAGAGGGATTCTAAGGGGTCTCGAAAGGTGAGTATAAAGATTCTTCCTAAACTGGATGCTGGGAATACAAATGCTCATTTAACATTAATATCTATTCTTTAAACTACAAATATATTATGTATATTATTTCATATAATGGAAGACTTCACAATTTAAGAACATTTAAAACTTAACCAAAATTTTATTTCCCCAGTAGTGCAATAATCAAGGCGGTAGGTTATTCTATTGTGGTCTCCACTGACATGATCCATATTTGCAAAGGAACAATCCTAAACCAATCTGGTGGAAGGTGGCTTGTGTGGTAAGGCGTCTGGAATTACTAACAACCAACAGTGGAACTATGAGCACTTAGCTTAAAGATTAAACTAAAGGGGAACATGAGAGGAGTCTTCAAATATAGAAAGAAGAACCTGACTTAGTTTTGGAACTACAGTACATTTAGACCAGTGGATTTCTGCAATTGGGAAGCAAAACAAAATAAGAGATCTATTTAAACGGGATAAGCAGTCAAGATTTGATTAACTTTTCCTTCACTGACATTGTTTAAATAGTAGCTAGATGGCTATGCAGAAGAAACACTAAAAGAAGATTCTTGCTCTAGAATTAGTCTGGATGATCTTAGTAGTCAGCCTTGTGTCCTAGGCATTACTTACAAATGCATGTGCTAAATAGGTTGGTAAAATACCAGTTTCACTCACAATTGCACACAGTGGGCTGCGGTCAGAATCCACACTGGGTTGATGATGGCACCTCCACATTGGTAATCGCCTAGAAACCTCAGACCCACCTGCCATGGCCAACAGTGGGGGCAGGCTTCTTCCCCTCCTGCGATTCTTCTGGAAAGCCACTGGGGACTAAATGGAGGGATGCCACAGACATCTACAGTAAAGATGAAACCAATGACCCATAAGGTTGCAGTAATTTAGAACATACTCCTCCAATAGCTTGCCATAGTTAACAGTAGTGATTCTCAAACATCAGATAGGCTTTATAATAATATTGACTCCCAAAACTCACCTCTGAAAAATCTGATTTTAAGAAGCCTTCCCAGACTATGCTAGGCAACCAGAATTTTAGGGACTGGCCTACAGAATTTTATTTATTCATTTAGCAAATATTTATTTAGTGCTTGCCATTTGCTAGGCACTGTTCCAGACATTGGTGATATATTATTGGTGGAATAGAATAGATGATAAAAATACTGGCCCCCATGGAACTTACATTCTAGTAGGAAAATTTCAAGTTTGTTAGCAGAGTACATAAGGTTCTTCATTATATCTTCTTGTTTTAGTTCTTGTTCTCACTGTATGAATCCATGTATCAATCCTCAAACATATCAAATTTGCTCAGGCATCTAAATGCTGTTCTCTTATCAGGAATTGATGAGACCCATAGCCCAAGCACTAATCTCTAGGAAGCCTTCTCCAACCCTCCAGCAACAGGCAGATATTTTCTTCTCTAATAGCTCCTTGTGCAACTTTCTATTCCAGTCCATCAACTTGAACATATTCAATACATGTATGTGGAACAATGAGGGATCATAGTATTTACCCAGATGCCTTAGAGCATAAGGAAATTAAAAGATGCCAGTGTGAATTTAAAATAAAAAACCTTTGTTTTCTCTCTTTGCCCCACACTGACTATAGAAGTCATTTTAAATATTAAGTTTGTAGAGGAATGAATGAGGACAAAACATTGCTTTATACCCTTTTCTTCCTAACCTAAAGCTCATTTGTTCTTCCCTCTATTTATGAGTCTAACTATAAATCCAAATATGACTCTGGACGTTTTATGGACCTAAATATAAGACTCATTCTTCTTCACTGTGGAGTTATAGCCAATGTAAGATAAGGGCTTCCAAAAGAGACATCTAGTTAATGAAGAAACAAGATTAAACAGATAGTAATAACATGTCACCAACTCACCATGCAGAATAGCTTTTACGGTAGATACAGGATTGTTTTGGGGAGGTAACTTTGGTTCAAATTTGTTTAAAGACTCTGTAGAAGAAAAAAAAATTAATTGAAAGTAATTAGAGAAGTTGCACTAACTGACCCCACTTGCTTACCCTGGTAAATCATAAAACTACTCTACTGTAGATCTCACTAACACTACCATTCATACACTAGATGCCAGATCCCAGAAATGTGATTTCTTGTATATCCGTTAATATCCCTGTTCCATCTGGCTCTTTTAAGCACTTCTTCCTTCCTTGGTTTCTTGATATTAATCTCATGGTTTTCCTTATACATTGATGGCTGTTTTCAATATCAGTCTTTTTTTCAGGATCTCATTGTTTAGCCTGAAAAGATATTGCCAAGGTAATGTTCATTACTCTATTTTTATTCATCTACATGTAGATGACTTCCAAATTTCTCTCTTCAATCTAAATCTCTTTCCTGAATCCTAGACCTAAGACTTTTAGATATCCCCACTTGGATTTCCCACAAGCTAATATCTACATGTCTTAAATTGAACCAAATGATTTTAAGAGTCAATACAGTCTTGTTCTTACATTTCTCTATCATCTAGTGGCTTCTACCACTCACCTCGCCATTCAAGCTAGGATCTTGAAAATCATATTTGTGATGGTTAATACTGAGTGTCAACTTGATTGGATTGAGGGACACAAAGTATTAATCCTGGGTGTGTCTGTGTGGGTGTTGCCAAAAGAATTTAACATTTGAGTTAGTGGGCTGGGGAAGGCAGATCCACCCTTAATCTGGTGGGCACAATCTAATCAGCTTCCAGCTAACATAAAGCAGGCAGAAAAACATGTAAACAGAGATGGGCCTAGCCTCCCAGCCTACATCTTTCTTCCATGCTGGATGCTTCCTGCCCTAGAACACTGGACTCCAAGTTCTTCAGTTTTGGGACTCGGACTGGCTTTCCTTGCTCCTCAGCTTGCAGACAGCCTACTGTGGGACCTTGTGATCATGTAAGTTAATACTTAATAAACACACACACACATACACACACACACACACACACACACACACACATATATATATCTGTCCCTCTAAGAGAACCCTGACTAATACAACACTGGACTTGTCTTCCTTCATATATTCCATCCCTACTATATATATAATAAAACAATACGTATAGAATAAATTCTTTACAATGATTTTCTCAGTACTTTTCTTGCATGTAAGTTCATTCATAATCTTCCAGGTTACTCTGGAGTCAGAGAGGCCAAGTTCTGACTCCACCTCTTGCCAGCTGTGTATCTTTGGGAACGTTACTTAACTTCTCAAAGCCTCACTTCCCTCACTGGTGAGAGGAGAGCAATGCACATAACTCCTATGTATGTAAGGAGGAATAAATGAGATAATGCATGTGAAATGCTTAGTGAATACCTGCTACAGGGCAAGTAATCAAAAGTTAGCTAGCTATCCTATCACTCTGGCACTTATAATTTAATGCCTCATGTTCAACATGATCTCACTCCTGCCTTTTCTATTATTCCCTCCAAAACTCAAAACATGTAGAGTTATTTGTAGTTTTCTTATACGTTGTCCATTCTCTTTTGTGAGGGTTTCTGCATATGATATTCTTTTTGTCTGAGTAGCACGTACTTTATCTTCCAGAGTGCCAGGATACCTATTAATTCTTCAAAGCCCCCTAACTTGGTAAAATAGAGTCAGTCAATCTCATTTCTGAATTACCTTCTTTAATCCTAATTCTATTGTTTCTGTATGTGGCGTGTGGAATCTTTATGTTCCAGTGGATGCCATTTCTTGAGCATTAACTGAGGTGCTTCCTAAAGCACAGATTCCTGGGCCCCATCCCAGATCTACAGAATCTAGGTTTCTAGGGGTGGATCCAGAAATCTGCATTTTTGTTATGCTTACCAAGGGGATTGCTATACTACATTGAGGTAAACATGGCTAAATTATCTTCCCTGTAACCATTTGCATAAACAAAAGTCCTTATTACACAAATGTTTATACTCACCTGAGGGCAAAATGGTAAATCTGGCCTTGAAGCCTTGTAAACGATTTTTACCATCACTTTTAAAGTATATCACCGTCATGTTACTAGAACTGAATATTGAAGTGATGGTCAACATTCCACAAAGTTTAGCTGAAAAAATTTTAGGAAAGTTTGATTTATAGTTATATTTTTAAAAAATCAGAACACACAGTAAAATAATCACCCAATTTTCTAATCAACTACTTTAGTTTTCTCCAACTTTGATTTGTATGCACCCTTACATCTCATGTGAGAATTAAATGTTAGTTTCACAATAACAATGCGCTGTAATTTTAATTGCACAGAAAAAGCTCTAAAATAAGGACATTTGATTTCCAGTACGCCCGGAAACTCAACTGGTTATTACTTTGTAGACAATAAGAAGAGGTAGGTTTAAAAAAAAAAACACCCAAGTTGGTGTATTCCTTCTTCCAAAGAGGACATAAGCATACTTTATAAGAGAGGTAACACTCGAAGTCACTTTCATGAAAACCTCACACTATACATGCACTGTTATGCAGAATTATGGCATTGTGCTCTCACTAACCTGCCCTTAATGTCTAAATAAATATTCCAAACCAATCTATAATCCTAGCCTCTAACCCACAAAAACATCCAGCTGAGGGACAGATACTAGGTCCTGAAAAAGTGGTTAGAGGGCTGGAAGTTAAATCTTCAAACTCAGTAAATTGTTAGGTCACGATTAAAAGTATATTTGAAGTTTTAAAAGTCTTAAAATTAATTGTCAGACCCACGTAGAAATTATAGCTTTTGGTTACTTTTCCTGGACACAAATACCAAAATATCAGCAACAGAAGGAATTAATACAGAAAGCAGGAAGCTGTAAAATTTACCTTAAATAATTGCAGTTTCTCTGGCGACTGCCTTTTCACCTTACATGCAGTCTGAAACAATCTTTACATTTTGCACATTTCCATTAAAAACTTTACTGGCGAATTAGTTGCTGGCTCATAGGTTTTAAAGCTAAAGTTGTATGGCATTCTGAGTTTCCAAAGCAAGAAATTCACATTCCCACTCTACGTTCTGGTACCCAAGGAAGCCAGCCCATGTTGCCACTACTCTGATTCGTCTAACACTTTCATATTTAAAGGGTGAAGTCTACCTACCTAACTTGTGCTTTTCTTCAGAATCACCGTAAATCACAACAGCATCATAAATACAGTTTGGACTAAATTTGACAGCAAAGTCCTCAAATGTCAACTGTGCAAATGGAAACATAACCAGGGAAATGGTCAAAGAAGAGAAGAGAGAAGCTTAAAGGGTTTTCCTCTGTGTATTTAAAGGCTCTTTGTCACATCCTCATATGCCTTCACATAGAAGTGTAAATAATTGCAGTCTCTTTGAAGGGCAATTTGGCAACGACTACCAGGTTTAAATGTGCAAACCCTTTGACCCAGCGAATCTAATTCTGGGAATTATACATATCCACATGTATCCAAAGGCACTGGCAGATATTCATGGCACCATGGCTGGCATGACCAAAGACTGGAAGCTCAGTAAACACCTGCTAATAGGGAACTGGTTTAATGTGTTCTGAAATATCATACAATATTTTATGCAGTTATTAAGAAGAGCTCTGTGGGCTCATCTGGAAAGATCTTTGAGATATTTTTCAGTGACCAAGGCATTGCCAAGCAGCATAAGTACACACGCGCGCACACACACACACACACACACACACACACACACACACACACACACACACACAGGTTAGTAAATGCTCAAAATACCTCCCAAGGACACTAGTAAGTTATCAGTGTTTGCCTCCAGGGGTAGAATGGGAATCTGATGAGGAGCCTTACTTTTCATTGGATACACTTTTAAACCACTGAAAGTTTTCAAAACCACTCACAGAGATTTCTTTTCAGAGTAAAAAAAAATGGCAAATGGCTAAAAGAAGCTCCTAGTCATAATGGCAATTTAACAATCCAGATGAATTAAGTTCTGCCTAACTAACGTAACTCTATTCTTTATGAGGTAGAGCGATTCCTCAGTTGCCTACCTTTATAATGTGCTTCTCTGGAGCACAAATGAACCAATGACACCTTGTGTTACTGGGATACAAATCAGGATACTTGGCAGAGTGATTTGTCCCTTCTTCTACCAATATAGCCAGACTCCCACAACCTGACCCTGTGGAAGCATTGGGGAAATTCAAAGTGAATGGCCAAAGACATTTTCTCCTCTTCCCCACCCACATCAAGGGAAAATGGCAAGGAATTAAATACCTGAAACACTCACCTGCTTCTGACTTCTGTACAGCAGTAACGGTAAGCTCAAAGCCACTGCCACTGTCTTCTGTATCAGAAACAAATGGAACCATGGCCTCACTGGTCTCTGCCAGCAATGGTGAAGGCAATATTTTTCCACAGACCTTACCTTAAAAGAAGAGAAGGAAAGTGAAATAACATTACTAAAAAGTGGTGGAAACTTACACGTTTGTTTTGTTTTCCATCGTCTTCCATGAGAGATCTCTGATCTAAACACACTAAACTATTTAATGGTCCTTTGATCATTCAACATTCCCTGCTTCAGTGACTTTGCTATTCCAGTCTCCTTCTCAACCCCCCAGTCTCACATGTCCAAATTCTACTTATTCTTCAGGGCCTAACTCAAAATTCAGCTCTCTGATAAACTCTACCAGACAACCACTGGAAATAAGAGCTACCTTTTTTGAATCAGCGCAGCACTTCCCTGTTCTAATGGCATTTCCTACTTTGTTTTACACCTTTGATTACCTCAAACTACAAATTTATTTGGGCAGAGTGCTTTTTCTCAAAAAACGTCCAGTACCTGCTATGATATATACAGTTAATTTTTAACAAATGATTGGTTGAAAGAATAATTACTGTGTAAATAGCAGGCCTGAGCATGAAATAATTTAGACAATAAATATTATAACCCCTAGTACAATACTTTGTCTATAACTTCCTGTCAAATATGTGTGAAGAGACATTTGTCCTAACCATTGGCCTTATAGAGAACTAGAGATCCAGGTCTATACCAGCTGTGGAGAGCTTCTATCATGGTTAACACAGAGTATTTCAACAAAATTAGATATATTGGTTATGTTTATGTAGCTTATAAGAGGTATTCAATAAAATAAATTGAATGACATGAAATGATCAATTGTGTTATGAGAAGGAAATTACATCAAACAATGTAAAGTTCAAAGTGTATGTGTAAATAGATACACCTGTAAGTGCTGGTAGAGATTATCTCTAGGTGACAGGGTTATGAATGGTTTCTACTTTCTTCCTTTGGCTCATCTGTATTTACCAAATTTGGTAAACATGTACCCACTTTTGTGATAAAAATAATAAAAAAAACTGCCTCAAAAGGAAGTTTTCTGACAACTGTGACATCAATTGCATTCAATACTGTTAGTGAACTTGAGAAAGGAATGTGGGATCTGGTTCCTAACTTAGAAAAACACTGAAAAGAATGGTCAGTGTGTTGATCACTGTCTCCACTCTTACTCCCTCCCCTTAACCCTTCTAGAAGGGAAAAGTCTGTAAGATAAGATCATTGCCCTTGGTAGAATAAAAGAAATTTTATTTTTTTATTTTTGTTTTTTTGAGTAAAGTGAAAGCAAGTTTATTAGGAAAGTAAAGGAATAAATAATGGCTACTCCATAGGCAGAGCAGCCAGAAATTTTATTTTAGATCCTTTAGCATCTCTTTGGTCTTTCAGATACTCTAAAATGACAAATAAAAACAAATGTAACATACTTACTAAAAAGCACTCCACTGCTTGATCGTAAAGATACATAGTCATGATCACATCCAACTTGCTTTTCCATGTCTAAACTTGTAAATTTTATCAGGATTATTTTATCTTCTGGTACCATTATTTTCCAAACATATAAGCTGGGGTAGGGGAAGGTGAAGAAAATGTAATAAATGGAAGAGTCAGATTTGCTAAATAAAATCTAATACCTGTGCTTTAGCTCACAACTCAACAACCATACAATTTTATAGAATACGAGAAGATAAAAGGCAATAGAACATTGTGAGAAAAATTCGTGCTCAAATTAATAACATTTATCTGACAAATAGATGAGTATTAATTGGAGAATGACCAGAAACCACCCCTTAAATTTCATTTAGTTATAAAATGCTAGAATTTTGATGTATAAATTGAAGAAACCTAAGATTCATGTGAGTTATTCACCTAATTAAAATTCATACTATTCACCCAGAGGTTGAATTATGGTTCTCATGAATTATGAATGGACCATACAGCGTATGCTAACCTTAAACAGCCACATATTCCAAGGTCATCCTAAGTCACAGTCTCTGGGTTAAAATGTCATCTCTCTAACTCCCAGTAAGGTCAGCTGTGACTTTTTGCTAACATTTTTAAAAGCATATCTCAACTTGAGATAGTAGTCTTATGTAATTTGACACATAATCCCTTACCTTCATTTTCATACATAAATTTATTATTCAAGAAAATAAATCCTAGTGGGCCATAAATCCTAGCTTCTTCCATGTCTCACCTTCACCTGAATGCAAAGCAATCTTACCTAGAATCTAACATGTTGGAATTAACTCTTTCCAAAATTCAGCAGTCTTTACCTTAGACCTATTAACAGCCTCACTACCCTTTACAAATATTAAGGACTTTCGGAATTAGTCAAGTATTTTATGCCCAGTTTCCAAAAAGCAAACACTAATAATTTTTTTTTTAACCGGACATCTTAATTGGCAACTCTTTTTTTTCTTTTTTTTTTTTTTTTTGAGACTGAGTCTCACTCTGTCACCCAGGCTGGAGTGCAGTGGCGCAATCTCAGCTCACTGCAACCTACACCTCCCAGGTTCAAGCGATTCTTCTGCCTCAGCCTCCCAAGTAGCTGGGACTGCAGGCATGCACCACCATGCCCAGCTAACTTATGTATTTTTAGTAGAGACAGGGTTTCACCATATTGGCCAGGCTGGTCTTGAACTCCTGACCTCATGACCTGCCCACCTCAGCTTCCCAAAGTGCTGGGATTACAGGTGTGAGCCACCATGCCCAGCCGGAAACTCTTTAGTGTTTTTCTATTCAAGTCCATCATCCTGAATATAGATGTAAATATAAGCTGTCTAAAATATTATAAAGTTCACTTGCTAAGCACTTCAATGGAAAAAAGCACTCCACATCCATCATCCTTTTTGAGATTAATTACATCTCTCTGAGGTAGGCAGGAGAGAAATTACCCATTTCCAAATGGGAAAATTGGCATTGATAACAAAAGATTCATCACATCTCTTGTATAAGTGGAACTGTAGTTTAGGCTTTATGACTTCAAAGGCCAGTACTTTCTCAAATTGTTCCATCATCTAATTATTTTCGTCCTCAAAATCTCTAGCTGAAAGATGAAAAATAGGTTTCAAATCTATGCCAACTTTGATTTATTATTAGTGATTGCTGTTTTAAGAGGATTTTGAAGTCTGGTCAAGCTAAGTGAGAGAGGGGTCCCCAAACTAACCATTGATCTATTAATTCAAATAATCTATGGAGCATTTATTATGTGCCAGGCACTGATCTAGGCTCTGAGAAATGCAATGTCTCTCATGGATATGAAAGGAAGGAGGGCAACCTGGGTGGTATCTGTCATTTCTGAGAATCCAGCTACCACCTACCAGAATACAGAGAGGCTTGGAGGGACTGTGTAACTCTCTCCTCCTTCTTTATATTATCTCTGTCTCCCTTATGATTTCCTAGTTAGCTCCAGTTGGAATTCACAAAACCCTTTCACTATCTAAGGCTACTCAGCATGCTGAAGAAGTCACTGACTGTGCAAATTGGCCCTATACTCGTTTCTAAAGCACAATTTTTTCACATTTGCACATTCTAAAATTAGAATGCATCTTACAAAGGAATCTTACGATTTCTGTAGACCTGAATTGAAAGAGTTCTTCCTGGCAGAATCTGTATACACTTCTGTCAGTCATGTTGCTCACTGTCAACTTCACAGTGCCGAATTTTCTGCTTGACATGTTTTGGCCTATACTTGAGGTGTGAATTTAGATGGTAGATCTGCACGAGTATTAACCTGTAGTTCAAATTCTCAAATAATTTTTTACCTCTCCCTACATCTACTGCCAAGGTTGAGGCATGTAACTTTCCATGTGGGTGGGTTTACACTTTGTTTAGCCTTACGCTAAAGACAGTGTTTGGTGACTCAGCCTTATATGAACCTATCTTAGGAATTTTGTTTTCTCCTATTGAAGCAGTATTTTACAATGAATTTTTTTGTCTTGATTTATTGAAATATAGTACAAATAGATGCTAATACTCATTGGGTTTTACTGCTACTGAAAGTCTTATTAATCTCTGGTTGACTCCTTACTTTAGTCCCTATAAACTATTTATATCTTAACTATTTTATCTCTACTTCATCTACTAAAGTTGAAGCAATTAAAATCTCATGTGATAACTAAGACATCCAGTGTAAATTCCTTCAACTTTCCTACAGATTACCTTCTTTGTTGCTTTCCCAGAAAAGGAATTATTCTGCCCTCTTTTCAATGCCAAACCTTCTTTATTTGTTGTGTTCTCAGAAAGCTTACTTCACATTTCTATGTGTTTCCTATGACTGTTGACTCTCACTCTCTCTCTGTCCATAAGCACAGTTGAGTCTACTTTATCAAAACAAAGTGCCTCTCTTGACCCTACTGTCTAAAAGCCACCACCCCAATGTTTCCATCTCAGACAACAGTTCTATTCTTCCAATAGCTCAGGTTAAAAACTGTTAGGTTACTCATATGGGGATCTCATTCTCCCTCAAAACCCAAACTGTCAACTCATCAGCAAATCCTACGGCCCTACCACTCTTCACCACCTCTACAAATGTGGTCAAAGCTAGACTTTTACCTGGATGACTGCATCATCTTTTACCTGGACTATTGCAGTAGTTGGTCTCCCAGCTTGTGGTCTTGCCTGCCTACAGTCTATCTGCAACCCAGTAATAAAAGTGATCTTTTAAAAATGTGTCAGATCATGATCTTCCTCATTCAAAATCCTCCAATGGCTCTCTAGCTCCTTTACGGTAAAATCCAAAGTTCTTTTCATGCCCCGCAAGTCCTAAAGAATTTGGCCACATTGCCCCTCTCCAGCCACTCAACTCTGGCTCTCTGGTCAATTTGCTATTCCCCAAATATACCAAGTGTATTCTTGTCTCACACATACCATTCCTTCTGCCTTAATGTTCCTTTCCAAAATGATCATATAATTCCCTCCCTTGCTTTATCCAAGTCCTTTTTTTCAAGTATCATCTTTATAACGTGGTCTTCCCTAACCACCCTCTCTGATATTGTATACTTTCATTCTCCACCCCCCTTTCTTGCCTTATTTTTTGATATAGCATTTACTACCTTCTACTATTATATGTAATCTTTAAAAATTATCCCATTTCCACCTTCTAACTTGCCCCACAAAGGCAAACATTTTTGTGTGTTTCATTCACTGCTGTATCTCTAGCACCTAAGACAGTGTCTTACACATCCTGAGGGTTCAATAGAAATTTGTTGATTATTTGGGATACTAAATTTTCAACAGTCACTTAACCCACTATGAATGTGGCTTCTGATCCTACAGTTCTGCTCAGTTCAAGAAGTTTGAGTTTCTATATGCGATGGCATTTGATCTGATTTTTACTTCTAAAATAACCCTTCTTCTCTTGAAACTTTTTCTTGCAGAGATCTCTGAAATGCTTAACTGTCTAAGTTGGGTCACTGTGTTTGAGGGTAAGTAGGCTGCCATCTGCATGTCTCTTACCCAATATACAAATACTTTGCTCAAATATCCACTTATCAAGAGCATTGATTACTTCCTGAAGCAGGCTAGTTAATTTCAGAAATCATTCAAACAAGAAATGACTTAATATTGAATTGAACTCTGCCTTCTAACTTCTACCCAGTGGTCTTAGTTTTCAGCTCTGCAATTATTCAGAACAAGTCTAACTCTGTTTCTTTAGTAGCCTCTAAGATAAATCAAGACACTTCCCTCCTCCTCTTCAGTCTTCTTTGGATCAAAAAATATTATGGTTCCTATAACCATACCTCTCAAAACATTGTTCTGAATTTTTCCCATCTTGGTCATTTTCCTTCAGACAAATTCTGGCTTATCAATCTCCCTGTCTAAACATTGTACCCTAGAGGTCCTAGAGGTCCCTGAGACTCTAATAAAGGAGTTTCTTAAACTCTTGTTCTAAATATCCTTCTAACAGCTTAAGCAAAGGTGGCAAAAGCTTTATTGGCATTCTATCATCACAAGTTTGCCTGAGACAAAGTCAGTTTAGACCATTAAGCGTTTTAAATTATGAGCTGAAATTAAGCCACATCTTTTCTATCTGTACTTGAAATAAATATTTATATTCATTTTACATTAGTTTTGAAAGTTATAATCTTTCCATCATTTTAGTTTTAGCATACCCATTGGTTGTAGCATAAGGTCTAATCTCTCTGCATGGAACTCAAGGTCCTCTGCAATTAAGTCCCGATCATCCTTTCTATTCTCATCATCCACTGCTACCCCAGTTCCCATTCACATTGTTGTCCAGTCACAGTGGGATACTCAAAACCCAAAAAACCCCAATCTTCCCCACCTCCTTGACATTGCTTATATCTAATTCCCTTGGCATAGAATGACCTCTTCCTGCCTCTCCATCTGTTGAAATCTTCAGTATTAGAGCTACCAAAGACCTCATGAGCTATAAAATCATAACTATCCTTCAACGCCTCATTTCAATGCCATCTTTTCCACTATAACATTTATATCTCTCCCCACACTTCTAACCACTCCACACATACCTTAAAAACCACACCAAAGAGAATTAGTCTCTATCTTTTATAGTGTGCACTTTCTTGGATGGTATGGATTATAAAGCTTATTTCCTCTTGTAGTATAGTTATTTTTGTCTAGCTCTTTCTACCAGATTATAAACTTGTAGAACTGTTATCTTTGTAGTACACTATTCAAGTCTCAGTACGATTTTAAAAATGAATTTAGATCACTTAAGAAAATGAGATACTTGCAGAAAGATTTTCTAAAGCTTAAAGATATTTTTAGCTACATTTAGATATATTTCAGAGGACAGGGTATGTAGAAAATTCGTAAAATGAGACTGAAGCTTATAGGACATGAACTATTTTCCATCTTGTAGGTGATGCTAAGCAAAGTATTACCATGATCATAGAAATAAATGTGACAGAATTAATCACTAAATCCCACAGCAATCTCATTACCAGACGCTGTTAGTATTAAGTATTTGAACACATCCGTTCAAGTAAACTTTAGTTTAATAACTATTCAGGTTGATGATTTACATGAGTGAGTAAATATTCACCAATCAAAAAATATCAGATAAAATAGATACTTTTATATTAGAACTGGAGATACCAGATAAAAATGCCAAAATAAGCCAAGTTGTGGTGGCATGCCCGTGTAATCCCTACTACTTAGTACGCTGGGGTGGGAAGATCCCTTGAGCCCAGGAGTTTGAGCCCAGCCTGGGCAACGTAGGGAGACCTTGTCTCAAAAAAAAATTGCTGAAGTAGAGTGTTTTAAACTGCCCCATTTTGTGGGAGGAAAAGCCCCAGAAATCATTCCTATGTAGTATACATACCAATTATGAGAATAGTAGTCTCCTTTGGAATGGGGGTAACAAATCTTCCCACTTTCTCCAAATAACACTGTCCCCTGAGGTTTACAATCTTCAAAAACATGGGAAAAAGCCGATCATTTGCCTCACCCATAGACAACATTTCAAAATGATACAGAGGCCAGTCTGAAGCTGTACGATTTATATTAGTCATTTCATCGATATTTATGGGAATGCAAATATTTTTAGAAGCTATGATTTAGACATTGTATTTGCAAACAGACTTTAAAAACATTTCTGAATTCACCATAATTTGAATCAAAATCAAAACTTTTAAAAACACTTCTTCAGATTTAACATTTATCCAACTTTCCCATCTCTTTCTAGGCTGTCTTGGGTAAGGTTAAATACCTTTGTATAAAGATGCTAACGTACAATTTGAGAAGCTGAGGCGGTTGCATCACTTGAGGTCGGGAGTTTGAGACCAAGCCTGGCCAACATTAGTCAGGTGTGGTGGTCCATGCCTGTAGTCCTACTCAGGAGACTGAGGCAGGAGAATTGCTTGAACCCAGGAGGCAGAGTGCATGCCACTGCACTCCAGCCTGGGTGGAGAACAAGACCCAGTCTTTAAAAAAAAAAAAAAAAAAAAAAAAGATGTCAAATAAGCTGGGTGCAGTGGTTCACGCCTGTAATCCCAGCACCAGCACTTTGGGAGGCCGAGGCGGGTGGATCATCTGAGGTCAGGAGTTCGAGACCAGCCTGGCCAACATGGTGAAATCCTGTCTCTACTAAAAATACAAAAATTGCCGGGCACAGTGGCTCACTCCTGTAATACCAGCACTTTGGGAGGCCGAGGCGGGCGGATTACGAGGTCAGGAGATCGAGACCATCCTGGCTAACACGGTGAAAACACGTCTCTACTAAAAATGCAAAAAATTAGCCGGGCGTGGTGGCATGTGCCTGCCTGTACCCAGCTACTCGGGAGGCTGAGGCAGGAGAATGGCGTTAACCCGGAAGGCGGAGGTTGCAGTGAGCCGAGATTGTGCCACTGCACTCCAGCCTGGGGGACACAGCATGAGACTCTGTCTCAAAAAGAAAAAAAAAATTAGCTGGGTGTGGTGGGGGGTGCCTGTAGTCCTAGCTACTTGGGAGGCTAAGGCAGGAGAATCGCTTGAACCCAGGAGGCAGAGGTTGCAGTGAGCAGAGACTGCTTGCCACCGCACTCCAGCCTGGATGACAGAGTGAGACTCCATCTCAAAATAAATAAAATAAAATAAAATAAAATAAATAAATAAATAAATAAATAAATAAATAAATAAATAAATGGATACAGCTTTTAGCAATGGCATGGAAAGTCTCCCTCATTCACTCAAAAGTTTTAGATGCCAGGGTCAGGTTTTAAATGTTGGAGCCTATGTATGAATATGAGCAGGGCTTTTAAAGTTTACATTCAAAAATTTAAATAAAACTCAGATTGTGAATATGGTACAATCCTCCTGTTTGCTTTCCTCTGATGACTTTCTTCAAGTCAGCTTCCTTCTCTAATTAGAACCACACATACCCTTTCCTCTCTGGCTTCCATTCACTTCTTGGACAGAACTCAGGGCCTTTGTTATATACCTTGAGCCCACTTTTGAGAGGGGTTGGCCCCGATCCAAACCTGTAAAAGGTATAAGGAGTTAGTGCCTTTCCCAATAATAATCATTTAAATAAAACATTTTTAACAATGTGAAGTTAAAAGAATATGAAGAATTATAACTTCTACTAAAATCAATGCAGAGGGAATCTTTTCTCAGAGTCAGTAACCCACTATGTCTTTTAAAAAAGGCTAAAGGACTACGTGGAAGCAGGAATTGATTTGATTTGCTGGTTAGTGTGGTTTTAAAAATAAGATGTGAAATATTCAATTCTCTGATTTTTAAGAGTTAAGAAAACTCAATTTAACCCTATTTCCAAAGCATAGCCAGTTCTGGAAAGAGATAGGGGAAGATGAACTAGAAAAAATAGGCAAATAGAAGATGAGAAGCTTAGAAGATTATCCTAAGGAAGCATTATTTAAATAAATCACTTATCATGTTCTGGTGTTCATTTCACTGAAATGAACCATTAATGTCTGATTTCATTGCTCTTGTAAAATCTCATTGTTACCATTTACATTTGTTCAGGGCTTTTAAACCTTGTCAACTTTCCCTTCCAGGTGATCAAAATGGAACACAATTGCTACCAGAAGAGAACTGCTCCCCTGCAGTGGAGCAGTGAAGAGGCCTTTTACATCTAAGACCAAAGGAGAGTCTGTGGCAGTCTGAGGAAGTGCTGGCCTGTGGTAGGATCCACAGCACCACTTCTAAAAGCCCTGTCAGGTGGCTGCCCTTGGACTGCCATGAGAAAGCGATGGAGGATGGAGAGAGCACTATGTTCTGGGGCTCTGGGTCTTGTCATTTTAAAAAATGTGTGGTTTCTGCATTCAACTGCTTGTTCCTGAAAGCTGTGTTCTCTCAGGCTTCTTTCATTCTGCAGACGACAGGTTTGGTATCTCCAGGCCCACATTTTCCTAATCTAGATTTTAGTGTCACAGAGCCAAATTAACTCTCCAAGGCCTCCCTCATTTTTTCACTGTTGCCAAGGAAGTTAACAAGGTTGAACAGGCAAAGTGGGAGATGAGTGATTTATTTTTGGTATTCTTAAGTAGTACAGAGAAAAATCATGCCAACTGAAAAAATGAAGAAAGAATCCCCTGATGAGTCTATTCTCAAGGTCTATTAATAAAATCTCGTAAATGCAAAAAGGCATCTCATGAAAATTTTATACAGGGATTTGGTTTGTTCAAGTTATATTGACAGATTTCTGTACTCAGGGTTTCAGAGACAAGTATCTACACTGGACTAAGAATTTAAAACCAGCCTCATTCTTGCTTTGTTCTAAAGCTTAGTTCTGATAATATCGCAACATAGCAGAGTAACTACCCTTGAGTTAGGATGAGATGAGGAAGAAAGAATTCACCTACCTGTGAACAGGTTTTGAGTGATAAAATCCATCAACTCAGACACTTTGGAGAAAATGCCAAGTGATGCCTTCACATGGTTGTTTCTTACGGGAACTGAACCTCCAGCACAACCAGCTACCCAGGAAGTTATCCCAGCAAGAATCCAGATTCCACCACCTCTTCTACAAACCAGTGGTCCTCCAGAGTCCCCCTTTCATGGTACAAAAAAAGAGAAAATTTGAAAATAGCCACAGTGTAAAATATTTCATCATTTCTGTAAACATCAGCACTCATCACAAAGTGAAAAGAGGTAGAGGCAAAGAAGTCCACTAGTCATCGTCCATCAGCTTTTTGTTTATCCATTTTCTTGTGTCCTTATCATTAGTTTCAAGGCAAAATCTTTTCATGAAGATAAAATCTCTTTATACCTATTGGCTGCAATCTTGTCAGGTTAACAATTTCTCTTCCTCCTCTTTTTTTTTTAAACTACCATGTACATTCTAAAAATCGTTGGAAGGGAGGTAGTTACAGATAGATGTTTCTACTATAGCTTGTCACCTGGAATTGCTAGGAAAGACTAGGTCATCTTCCAAACCTATGGAGCATCAGTGAATAGACCCCTCAAGATAGTTCAAGGCCTCAAAGCTTTAAAAACAGAAAGCCTGGGCAGGGCACATGGTTCACACCTGTAATCCCAGCACTTTGGGAGGCGGGGCTGGTGTATCACCTGAGGTCACGAGTTCGAGACCAGCCTGACCAACATGGTGAAACCCTGTCTCTATTAAAAATACAAAAAAATTAGCTGGGCATGGTGGTGGGTGCCTATAATCCCAACTACTCAGGAGGCTGAGGCAGGAGAATTGCTTGAACCTGGGAGGCAGAGGTTGCCGTGAGCCAAGATTGCGCCATTGCACACTCCAGTCTGGGCAACAGAGTGAGACTCCATCTCAAAAAAAAAAAAAAAAAAAAAAAGAAAGGAAAGGACCACATTGGCTCTTATGCTACAGAATAAAGAACCCAAGATTTTAGGATTGCATCTTCAATAACATTCCAGAATCTATGCTGCTTTAAGACTATGTTTCAGACAACATTGTGTCAGATTAAACTCTTCTCAAAAGGTGTAGAGGGCTTCATCCAAAAAAGGATTGCCTGTAATGAATGCAGATAGGAAAAAGCACCTTTAGCCTATCTGTTTTCCAATTTAGAAAGCGGCATAAGTGTACGTTTCAATCTCCTCCCTCCCAAACTCCTGTCATCGCCTCGAAGAAAAACTCAAAAATCCTTCCAACAGATAATTTCAGAGAGCTTCCCTCACATTTTCAAGCTGCTTTTTGGCCAAGAATAATGACTCCTTACTGCTCCACCTTAAAAGAGAAGATAATTTACTTGGAAGACCTATCTAAAACTTAAAACTCATGTGTTTCACAAATTGGTCTCCTTGTCCTCTCTAAATATCTTGTGAAGATTGGTATTCATTGTGAAGTTGTGTCAGTCTTGGGAGATTGTAGTTATTCCCAATATCTCTTACACAACAGTGACTAAAGCTATGTATCTTCAGTCAAACTTTGTGCAAATATATTCTGCACCAAAGGAAAAAAAATCCACAATGCTTAACAATATGTGAAATGAAGAATTCATAGCTAGGCCTAATAAGATTGTGAAAGTGGTCATCTTGCTTGATTCCATTAGGTTGCACACGTTGAAACTAACCCCTTTTGCCAACCCACCGAAATAAAAGAAGTGTAGGGGTAGGAATGGACGTGGAGACAGGAAATAATTCTTTCTGCTCAGGTCAAGTACACTTTTTCAGTAGAAATCAGAGGAAAAGATGAAGGGAAAAAGAATTTTGACACAGTAATAGAAGAAACATGAGCTTCTTTTGGGGAAAGGCAGAATCTACTTTCACCCACATGTTACTGAACAGCTAGGCTGGTTTACACTTTTGTACCTGGCAGGCGTCCATTCCCCAATCAGGGAAGCCAGCACACAGCATGGTCCTTCCCAGGGGAGGGAGGTTCATGCTCTTGAGCACAGTATTACACGCTCTGTCATCCATGATGGGAAGTTCCATTTCTTGTAGGACATTTGAATATTCTGATGCTGTAGAGAGAGGACAGATAAGTTAGCACACAATATCCTCATGGAAACAAATTAATGGGAAGTCTACAAGTTTGGAACTATTTCAAACAGATTTTTAACCACATGTAGAAGTAATTGTTTTTAGGTGTGAATCATATTCACTTCTAAAAATCAGATATGTGGCAGAGGACATTTTTTGAAAATTCAGCAGATTTTTAAGGTAACATAGGCAATTGTACAATTGTGGCTGCTCTAAACAAATGCTTAAATGTTTCCCCAAAAGAGGAAAACTTTGGTCAATATGGCAATGTTTTATAAAAATGATTTTTTTAAGACAAGGTGTCCCTCTGTCACTCAGGCTGGAGTGCAATGGTACAATCAAGGCTCACTGTAGCCTCAACCTCCTGGGAGCAAGTGATTCTCCCACCTCAGTTTCCCAAGTAGCTGGGACTACAGGCATGCCACCGTGATTTGCTAATTTTTTATTTTTTATTTATTTATTTATTTATTTTTGTGGAGACAAGGTCTTCCTATGTTATCCAGGCTGGTCTGGAACTGCTGGGCTCCCATCTTCCTGCCTTGGCCTCCCAAAGTGCTAAGATTACAGGCGTGAGCCACTGCGCCCTGCCTAAAATTATTTATAAAATAAAAAATCACAATGTATTGTTGTCAAGCTTTAGGTATAGTTGACAAATAAAAATTGTATTTATTCAAGGAGTACAAAGTGATGTTTTAATATATGTATACATTGCAAAATGATTACCATAATCATGGTAATTAACATTACATCACCCCACAGAGTTAACTTTTTTGTAGTGAGAATACTTAACATTTACTCTCTTGGCAAATTTCAAGTATTCAATATATTAACTATAGTTCCCATGCAGTATATTGGATTTCCAGAACTTACTTGTCATACAATTCCACATTTACACCCTTTGAACCACATCTTCCCGTTTCTCTCATTCTCAAATTCCAGGTAATCACCCTTCTACTTTTTGTTTCCGAGTCTGACTTTTCAAAAAAGTCACAATATTAAAGACAAAGAAGCTTAACTATTGTTGCTATTTCCTGATCATCCTTTTGCCTTATTCCTCCTCATCTGTCACAGCTCTATCCAGCTTCCTTTATCTGCCATACCAAATTGGCAGCAGCAGGAGTGATATGAATAGCCTTTTTAAAAGTATAAGCCTTTCAATGCTGAGGACTACCAGAAATCTTCGTTGTGTCAGAAATTAGTTATAAAAAATGATAAATGTACTACTCATGGTCAACAAAATTATTTCTGCTTCCCCTGGACATACAGAGAGCTGGAAGAAGTATTAAGTCATTTTGGTGTCTCTTACTTTTGGAAATCTTGCCCCATCCACTGGATAAGCAAAGAATTCCTGGTTCAACTTTATCATCGCTGTCAGGAAGACAGATTGGCTGAACAGCATTTCCTGAGAAAACAACAAAGGCATGAGGTTCATGGATAAATACGCCATGTTGAATATATTTGGAAAAGTGAAATCTCTTGATTTCATGGCTTCTACACTTTCTTCCTAAATGTAATGGTGACATATTTTAAGTTTTGGCCCCTCCATATAAAACCGTTTTGTATTTATAGAAATTTTGAGAAATGCAGAAAAAGTAAAACAAGGATAAACATAAGGCCAATTGTTCCGCACACCACGAGCCCCCTAATGTACTAACATTTTAGACTATGCCTGTGTTTTGAAAGGGTAGTTTTTCACTTGACAGTTATTGAACACAAATCCAGAGGAATTAGCCAGGCCACTGCCTTTGAGAGATTGAATTGATCTTTAAGATCCTAGAAATTTAACTGGCCATGAGAGGAGCTGTAAAGAACCTGGGAAGCTTAGAAAAAATATGGATAATGGTGGGAAGAGACTGTAATTCAAGAGAAAGTGGCTGAGGACTGATCACAATTGATATCCAAATCTTTAGAAAAAAGCCCAGTAACTCCAACTATGATGCAAAAAATAATTTTGTATCTAGACATTGCTGAAAATGTAGCACACTAAAAACAAAGAATGGATCTCAAAAAAATCTAGAAGGAAAAAAACATATTACCAAAAATGGAATGTTCTTGATTTCTCAACAGCAGTAAGCGAATGTTAGAAGACAGTAGAACAAGATGATCAAATTATCACGTGGCAAGCACTCTTTTAGATCTCAACGAATGAACAGAAAGAAAAATATCTCTGTCTTGGTAGAACCTCATGAGTGTATATATTTGTGTTTGTGTGTTGGGTGAGAGGAGAAGAAACAAACAGCAAATATAATACATTGTTCAGTGGTAAATACATGCTATGGAAAAATAATAGGATAAAGGAGATAAGTCTGGAGATTAGGGAGAATGGCATGGAAGATGTCATTTTAAATATGATGGTCATGGAAAGTCTCATTGAGCAGGTGACATCTGAGCAAAGTCTTGAAGCTGAGGAAAGGAATCATGTAGTTATCTGGGTGGAAGTCATTTGATGAAGAAACAATCCTTGCTGCAGGATCATGCATATATGTTTAGGGGACAGTGGGAGGCCAGGATGACTGGAGCAGATTAAGTTAGTTTCATAAAAAAAAAAAATAAACAAATCAGAGGTTAGATATAGGACTAGAAAAGAGGGTATGTCAGATAATAATGACATTGATTTTCATCTAAATGTAGTGGAGAACCATTGAAGTGGTTTGAATAGGGTGACATAACCTGATTTACGTATTAAAAAGTACTATTCTGGCCACTGGGTTAATAACAAACATTAGGAAGACAGAAGAAGCAGCTTGAGAAAATTTCAGAGACCATTAAAATTAACCCAGGCAAGACATGATGGTAGTATTGCCTGGAACAAGATGGCAAAAGTGTGAAGTGAGTGAAGCAGAAGCCAACAGGATTTTCTGACTCATTGGATGTACAGTGTCCAAGAGAAGAATCAAGGATGAATCCAGAGTTTTTTAGATTTAGATGTTTAAATTATTGATCCTGGATGAGGTCACAAAGAGAATGAGCACAACTAGAGAATAAGATGTCCAGGGCTGAGCCTGGGGCACTCCAACAATATGAAGTCAAGGAGAAGAGGAAGAATCATCATAGAAGACTAAGAAAGGGTACAATAGGGTAGGAGAATAACTAATGGATTCCCGGAATTCAAGTGAAGAAAATATTTCCAAGAACATATGAGCAATTCTGCTAAAAACTCTTACCCAGAAAGATGGGAATTGCGAAGTTACTTTGAATTTAGCAACATAGAGGTCATTAGTGACTGTGACAAGACCAAATTTATGGAACAGTGGAGAGAAAGTCTGATCCACTTAAATGTGGAACAGACATCTTAACCTAATACACCCAGCTATGAGAATTGAGGAAACGAAATTGACATAACTAGTATAGATGGCTTTTAATAGATGTTTTCTGTAAAGGAAAGAAAAAATGGGGCAATAGTTTCCTCTTATATACACTTCGAGTTATTCTCAGTATTTTGATCGCCTACTGTCTTCTGACATTCACTTACTGCTGTTGAGAAGTCAATAACATTCCGTTTTTGGTAATGTGTCTTTTTCCTTCTAGATTCTTTTGGGATCCATTCTTTTAGTGTGCTACATTTTCAGCACATGTCTAGATATATAATTATTTTTTGTATCATAGTTGGAGTTACTAAGCTTTTTAAATCTAAAGATTTGGATATCAATTATGATCAATCCTCAGCCACTTTCTCTTGAATTACAGTCTCTCTCTACCAATATCCATACTCTTTCTAAACTTCAAATTGGATGTTTACTACACTCTATCTTCTCTGTCTCTTATCGTCACTGTCTTCTCCGGGTAATTATTTCAGATTGTCTAGTTCCATACACCTAATCTAACCTGGTAGATAAATATTCTATTGAGTTTCTAATTCCAATTACATTTTTATATTTTCATGTTTTACTGGCTTATTTTCAAATTTCCCTTCCATCTAATAGTTTCTTGTGGTTCAATCATTTTCAGTAACTTTCACTGCTTTAAACTTTAATATACTAATTTTCTATTCTCTATCTTGAAATTTGTAACCTTTGAAGGTCTGATTCTGATTGTTAATTCTTCAGACTCTCTTTGATGGCAAATTTCTCTGCATGTTTCTGTGCTCGAATTCATTAAAACTTTATGGGAATATATTAAACCTGGGATTTAAATTTCATTCTCTCAGAGAATTTATTTTGCTTTTGCCAGAGGCTGATTACTCACCTGGAACCACTTTAAAATTTTGCCTTGGAGTTTTTTGTGCCACACAGGTGATGTCAATTCCAGCATCAAACCTGAGTGAGGCCTGGCTCATGATTACAGATTCTTCTGAGAACCCTCTGTCCAGAGCCAAGGTTGAGACAAGTAAGTGTCCTTATTCCCTCACTTTATGTAGCATAACACACACAACTCCCTCTCCCTATCTTTCAAAGCATCACCTTTCAGAAAGTTCCAGGTTCTTTACAGCTCCTCTCATGGCCAGGTCAATCTCTAGGATCTTAAAGATCAATTTGATCCCTTAAGGGCAGTGGCCTGGCTAACTACTCTGGACTTGTGCTTTGTTTTTGGCCACTTAACACTTCCTTTTCTTGCATTTAAAAAAAAGGGGGCTTTTAGTATTTTACCCAGAATGTTTATATTACCTGTGTTGAGAGAGTGTTGGAGATCTTGTTCACAGTAATGACAGAAAGAAGTCTCTGAAAATATTTTCAAATGTTTCGAGCTTTTTTGTTAGAGATGAATATAGGTAGGTAGTTAGAATGTAGCCCAGCCAAGACACAGGAGTCCTTAAAATACCAGTTGGCCAAAATATGGACTTAAGTTGTTCATCAATGAATGAATGAAGAAAATGTAGTATATATACACAACGGACTATTATTCAGCCACAAAAAGAATGAAATCTTGTCATTTGTAACAACACAGATGAAACTGAACATGGATATTAAGTGAAATAAGCCAAGCAGAGAAAAACAAATATCACATATTCTCCCTCATGTGTGAGCTAAAATGCTGAATCTCATGAAGATAGAGGGTAAACCTGTGGCTATGAGAGGCAGGAAAGGGTAGGGAGGAGGGGAGGATGAAGTGGGGTTGATTAACGGATACAAATATACACTTAGAAGAGGTAAGACCTGATGTTTGATAGATCAGAGAAATAATTCAAGTGTTCCTAGCATATACAAAAAGATAAATATTTAAGGTAATAGATATCCTAATTACCCTGATTTGATTATATGAATGTATCAAATTATCACATGTACCCTGAAAATATGTACTTCTAATATGTATCAATGGAAATAAATGAAAGGGAAAAAATGTTGATTGTTAGGTTAAGCATAAATAATTTGTGGCTGGGACATGTAGCCTATACAGTATTTTCTCAATAGGTTATAGACCGAACAAAATTATTTTAAAAAGAAACAAAGCTTAGCTATTCTATTACTAGACAGCCACACAGACATTAAAGTTAACTTGTACATAATTAGCAGTTTTCCTCCACTGCATTTTTAATATTCTAACTCTCCATACTCACCAAACTTGACTTTGTGTTTTAGATACAGCAGTGCAATATCAGGACTCATATATTCACGGCTGTTGTATTCAGGATGGGTAATAATTTTTGAGACAGGAATATTCTGTTCTTGCTTATCCTTCTGAAAGAGGCTGTACTCCCCAGAAGTCACAGTTATATTCTTCAGCTGCTTCCTAAAACCAAAGAAAAATGTTTCATAAGTAGTTGTTTCCCCTACGCAAGTCTTCTTGGTTTGATGTAATTAAATGAAAAGTGATTAATGTATCTTTAAGCATCCCTGAGTCTTTGAAGAAGGTTTTCCTTATTATTGAGTATTACCAATGGTCATATTTTTTTTAATCTAGAAAAAATCGTAGTTTTCAGTCATGTTTCCATTTTTCTGAGTCAAGTATTTAAATATTGCATCCTTTTCTTCTTTGATATACAAACCATAGTTCACACATGCAATGCCATTTGTAACAGGATACAGAAGTTTTTTTCTAGAACTGTTCCTTCTTTTCTCTTATTAGTACCCTCTTTTAATCTGGTCAAATATTTGTAATTTCTGCAGTTTTTTCCCTCCTAATGATTTAAACCCAGATGATTAAAACTTTGGAGCATCCATTTAACATTTCTTGTTAATGCTTTATTACAGTAAGTAACCACCACCTCTACCCAAGCACTAAATCCATAAATTATAGATGATGTCTGGGATTGTTTAATTCAGTAGAACAGGAAGCACTGGGAATCTTGGGACAGACACACATTTCTGGGAATCAGGAAGATCAGTGGGTGGGTACACTGGGAGGCAAAAGTAAGAAAGGGACTGAGAATGAACCTGCTATTTAGAGCAACAAATCTGCCAGTCGCATAGCCAGGAATCAAGGCCTGACAAGTAATGGAAATCCACAACTTACTCACTGAGGCTGTCCAGGCAGTGTGCTGCTGTAACAACCCGATCTTCTTGAATCAAGCTTCCTCCACAGAAGTGGTGCTCATCTGATTTTAGGGAGACCTACCCAAGAAGAAAGTTACAAATGCAGCTAATATGTCTCCCCACATATGTATCTCCATCGGAAACACTGGAGATCAACTTTTCTAATCTGACATAATATTCTTAAAATACCGACATAAATTGGATAGTAAGATAGTTCCTACGAAGTAAACTTTTTGGTAGAGAGCTAGAGGGGTTCAGGAGAAAAACTACATATCAACGTGCATTCTTGCTTTCGAAACAAAGGAAATATTTCACTGTTTTCTCATTAAGAAATCAATGCCTTTGTTGCACTGACCTGCCATGGATGTCCAGTCACTGTTGAATTTCTCCAACTACTAATTCTAGAGAAGAATCTAGATCCCACGGCAGGTTCCTTACTTTTCATGTTGACCATGCGAATTCCACACTTCAGTCCTGTGTAGAAGAGCATGTGTGTGTGCACACACAGAGCCTTATGTAAGAGTTCACTTTACCAAGATTTCCCATTTGGATTTTCCTGGCCTGGCACAGACATTCTGATAGCACTTAGCTGCAGACTACCACATTCTTCTCTCAATATTTTCTTCAGAATATCCCACAGTCACCTGGGTTGACCGGAATTTGCCTCCTGTCTGCTCCCTTTCAGCCTGTGTTACCACTGGGCAGGAAGGAGCCAGCGCTGCCTCTGGTAGGTGACTTGGGGCTTACTCTGGGAAGATGCAAATTTAGGTTGTGTTAAAGATACCAGGAGCCACATGCAGTGGTTCCCGCCTGTAATCCCAGCACTTTGGGAGGCCCAGGTAGGCTGATCACTTGAACCCAGGAGGTCAGAACCATGGGCAACATGACAAGACCCCATCTCTACAAAAAAATGTAAAAATTAGCCAAGTGTGGTGGTACGTGCCTATGGTCCCAGCTACTCAGGAGGCAGAGGCAGGAGGATCACATTAGCCCTGGAGTTTGAGGGAGCCGTGATCGCATCACTGCAGTCCAGCCTGGGTGACAGAGCCAGACCCTGTCTCAAACAAACAAACAAAACAAAAGATACTGAGGAATGACCTATACTACTCCGGAAGGGAGATATTTGTCTTTAAGTTACTTCTACTTGGTTAGGTTTCCTTGGAGGAGGCTCCTTAGTACACACATGATTAGCAGGTGTGCCTACAAACGAACTCTAAAATGCAAAAAATTTCAAAAAGGCAGTCTGGCCCAGACCTTCCTTTGGGGACATCTGAGCATGCACCACCCCCTCACCCTTTCTTCCCAAATGCCTCAGGTGTGGCTATACCACCCCGACTTCCTGAGGCAAGGAGTAATGAAGTCTTCCCTCTCCAGCACGCTCAGCCTCCTCCGCAGTCCTGGTGCCCAGGTCCCTAGGCTCACCTAGGCTTCTGGGGTGGCCGATGACCAGCAACAGCAACAAACCAGCACTGGCCAGCAGGCCCATAGCCTCCACGCACCGGCCTCGCACGTCCTCCCTCCCTGCAGGCTGAGAAAACTGTGGTGAAGGCGGGGGTCTCGCCCTTTATCCCCTCCTGCGGTGCCTATGGGCAGCACCTGCCGTGGCGCCTTGGTTCGCAGGTGTCCCTCTTCACGATCATTTGATCATTGTGAGCTGCCGCCGCTCTCTGGTCACCCCTGGTGTCACAGTGCCCCGCCACCCAGCCTTAGAGACTGGCACGAGGTGGCCCAAGGGGTGACAGTGGTGCTCACACGTGTGCAGAGGTTCCTGCTAGCAGATCCACAGCAAGCCAATCAGTGGCCTGGAACGCTTAGCCCTGCGAATTCCCAGACTGGGGAGTGCGGTCCAAGCTCAGGGGCAATGAAGCTGGTCCCCCACACGAAACACAGGCAGGACTTCTGAAAGGCGGAGGGTCAGGAAGCTTAGTACAATACTGCCCCTTCTAAGAAGCTTGTTGCCCTTGACCCTCTAGAGTTTTCAAAGAGTGAATAGGAAAGATCAGGCTTGAGCTGACATCATTTTCTGGGTGGCAGTACTGTCCTCCATTTCAGCAGAATGGCCCCAAAACTGTAGGATCCATCATTTAAGATGATTAAAATTAATCTAGTGGTGAGATATCACTTTTTTTCCCATGAATATTATTTTGTAATAAGTTAAGCTGAAGTTAGAAGACAAAGCCAGAATTTGTAATGGTCTTATATTTTGTCAGAAAATTAAGGCAAGGCTAAGTGGACATTCCATATATATCAAATAACCTGGCCACCAGTCCTTCAGCACCAGTTGGAGGATTTTACGTTCAAGTGCTCTATTTTACTTTCATGTAAAATAGAAATAAAAGCTTCTTGAGGTAGGAGGGTACATAAACTAATGGGGGCAGGTGGGAGATGAGCAGGTAGATGGGAAAACAGAAGGCAGTCAAGGTGGAGAGAATGCAGGCACAGGTACAAGCAGGTGACAATCTACTGGGGACAATGACCTCTGTGACTGCAGGAGAGAGCAGAGGGTAAATGGACACCATTTGAAGAAAAGACTAAAAAAAGTGAATGATGCCTGTCGCTGTGGCATCTTCAAAAGGTGTCCATTTACCCTCTGTGGCTAGTGGCTACCATATTGAACAGCACAAATACAGAACATTCTGTCATCACCAATAGTTTTATGGGACTGTGCTGTTCTTGAGAGTAGCACTATTTTCTTTTGAGTATTTATTTCAAGGAAAGACACCTCGGATGACAGTTTGAGTAGATGACTCCTTAGTTTCATGCCTGGGTGTCTAGGGGATAGGGGGTGTCCAGCATGCTCTTAAGGTAAGCAGCTCTTCTGTGAAAATAAAACATTGAACCTCCAGGCTTCAGTACTGTCCAGGGAATGTCCAGATGTGTGGCTACCTGAACAGTGGCCCTCACCACTTTCCTCCCTGTAGTCATCACACAGGGGTGACCATTTGAACCACCATGCCAGCTCCAGGGCCACACCGTTCTCCAATAAAAGCTCAGAGCCCCCACATGGACCCAAAGCCCTCTTTCTTTTTAGCAAGAGGTAAGATGAAACCCACCAAAAAGCCTTTACTAAACAAAAGGGTAAGGACTAGAAGGTGAACATGTGCTGTGCAAGAACGGTCAGGCCAGCAATATTCAAGTTGCTGGTCAAACCATGGCCAGCCCTTCCGTGAGGCTCACAGGTGCTGTCCCCTTTCACTCTTCTGCCCATGGCACACAGCTTTGCAGCATACTCTGTGGTTTCTTTGTTTCAAACCTGGGAATCTCCATGCGGTGGGGCACTGTCTCATTTCCTGTTACAGAACAACTCCCTTTGTTTCCAGAGTTCAAAACCCACAGCTTCAACTGAGACCCTATTCTTATATACAAAGGTTTAGTCCCTTACAGGCCTCACATAATAATGCCTTTCCATTAAGTGGAAAAAGAGCCATTCAATAAGAATTACACACCATTAATAGCCAGGCCATAGGCCAGGCGCAGTGGCTCACGCCTGTAATCCCAGCACTTTGGGAGGGTGAGGCAGGCGGATCACCTGAGGTCAAGAGTTCGAGACCAGCCTGGCGGCCAACATGGTGAAACCCCATCTCTACTAGAAATAAAAAAAATAGCCGGGTGTGGTGGCACATGCCTGTAATCCCAGCTACTCGGGAGGCTGAGGCATGAGAATCGCTTGAACTAGAAGGCGGAGGTTGCAGTGAGCCAATATCGTACCACTGCACTCCAGCCTGGGTGACAGAGTGAGACTCCATCTCAAAAACAAACAAACAAACAAAAAAAGCCAGGCCATTAGTTTTAGTTTTAGACTCAAATTTTCTAAAAAAGTAATGGTTTCAATATAAATTGAGTTTGTAGTTATATTAAAACATCCAAATGGAAGAATCCTCTTTTTATGTTTAAAATAACTTCAGAAAAGGAAAGGATACCAAGGAGAGGAGTGGACTGGACTACCCCCAGACAGTGGTGACTTGTGATGTACAGCAAATCTGTCTTTAATTTGGACATCTTCACTAGTATAGGACAACTGTGATCTGCTATTCGAAAAGCTTGGCTGTGAAGGGCAGACGGAGATGTGATAGCAGCTACAGATAAAATGAAACAGAGGATTTTTTTTTTCAAATTGTTTCGGTGTTGATTGCCTGTGTATGTGCTTTAAGAAGAGTAGAACTGACAAATTGACAAGAGCCAGCAAAAGGAAGAAGTAAAAAGATGAAGGAGAAGTTAAGGCATGGAATGAAGTTCCATAAGAGGCAAAATGCAGAACCTAGGGTCCTCTTCTTCCATTACGATAACAGGAGAAAAGAAAGGATAGAATTAGGTGCAGGTAAATGTATAGATGAAGTGCAGGGCATTGGGGGACAGCTGCTTTCTACCTTTTATTTACTCTGTGAAGAGAGAGGTGACAGCATCTAAGCATGATAGGGGAGCGGATCTGGAGTGGGTGAGTACTGAATTGGCACTGTGCGGAGGAAGGGAAAGAGAGCAGACAGGAAGCACACAGAATAATGCAATGAAATGAGTAAATGAAAGAATGAAGGAAGGAAGATGGTCCTTTTTAAAACATTGTTAAAACAGACACTCCTGGTGACATGGACATCAGTAGGTACTAACCATGAAGTACTTGAGAGATTGAAACCAGACATACTTATTTTAATCATATTTTATATAAAATAGACATTTACATAAATTTAATTTTGGAAAGACCTAGGCAAAGTATACATCATTAGACTCAATGGGAGAAATACTTTATGGAAGATAAATTCTAACGGGCACAGCCAAAGTAACAAAAATGTACATTTACATACAACTGATCCAAACAGGAAGTAAAAGCATTATGAAAAAAGAACATGATGCAAATCATTTCCCCCTGACAAAAGGAGGGATCTGCGTGAATTACAGCAAATCAAATGATTTCCACATTATAAAAGCAAGCCATGGCTTCTACAGATATTTTAATTCCTTGGGAGGAAGTTTCACCTCATCTTTTTTCCCCAGTAAAGTAACAATCACTGTAGGAATTTTTAAGTGCACAAACTGCAAAATAGGAGTAACTACCTCTGCCATGTTCAAGCACTTGGGCAATTCAGTCACTTTTAGGGTTGTATCATTTAAAAAAGGGGCAACATTTATGAATTATCTCATCAGATGCATGGTGTTTTTCAATCCAGATTCAAGAGTAACTATTAGAGTTACTCATTGAGCTTAATGGAAACATCAAACCGACGAGTCCTTTCATGGGTGGTAAACATGACTGGGAGACAATGGCTAACTTGCCCCAGGTAAGGTGGCTCTTCAGTGGCAGAGCTAGAACTAGAACTAGAACTCAGATGTCTTGATTCTTGGGGTAGTGTACCCCTCCTATGGACCAGCAAGATAAATAACCCCCAAAGGACATCACACATACTGAAAACTACCAAATTTGTTACATATATATATATACAACGTGTACTACTGAGAATGCAAAGAAACTACTGGATTTTTAGAAATAGACATGTCTCTCCAGGTAGGAGTCAATGGTGATCTATGCTTACAAACCAATAATGACCATATATTGTGGTGGATGCTGATTTTATGAGTTACAGGCCCTAAAGATTTTAATTGAAAAGATCAATTAAAATCAATATTTTAATATCAGCCAATTGATTGTTATAAAGATCTTATCAATTCTGTTGTGCCACTTTGATTGATATTAAACCATACTTTTGATTGCAGTTATTTTCTGTTCTCTTTAAATTACATGGCTACAAATAAAATATTGAGGGAAATAATATTTTTTGGAAGAACTATTCAGCATATTTTCCTTTTGCATCAAAAACGTCAAGAATAATCATAAAATCTTATAATATTTCTCTATATTATTTTTTGACATCCTAAGCTTTTATCTTATTCAACTGCAACCTCAATGCTAGATTTGACAGGTACTTAATTCTTTTTAAATGTCAAAAGATACCATTTAAATAGCTAAGTTAACCTATATTTGGGAGATACCAACATATAATCAAATCAAAGTAAACATAATTTGGAAACCAGGAACAAAAATTTTTAAAAAATCACCTCTCACTATATTTGTTTTGAATGTCATTCCTAATATCCTCTAAATTTATTATTTTAAGAAGGTGAATCCACCACAAATCAAAGCAAAAGTTTTTTTTTTTTTCAAAAACAGATTCTAACAAGTACAAAGAAATAATTAACAAAAGCTCATGTGTGCCCAAAATAAAGATAGAGATGTAGGCATAAACTCTATACCATGGACACCTTCTATGAGTCACGAAAATATCAGTCATATATATACTGGCACTTAGTCTGGTACATGCAAATTTCAAGGCAATTCCTCTCCATCTGAGAACGAGGAATTGTGTCATTTTAAGGCCAAATTGCAGTCCAATTGCCACAAGTGCAAAACCACCCCACATAACCACCTATTTGTAATCATGGAATGATAGCCTCAACCAACCAATTGTGCCATACATCATTGTTAAGACTTCTTTGGCTCATTTTAGTATAGACTTAAAAGTAAAAATTGCAAAAGATGATAAACATCTATTATTTTGTAAAAGTTACAAGCTCCCATTCCAGGTGTCAGCCCTGTAGTGGTTCTCCAGCCTAGCTGCACATAAGAAGCATCACCAGGACAGCCAGGATGATTCAACCGAAGATTCCGAAAGGTCCTCAGGTGATTCCAAAGTGCAGCCCGTGTTGAGAGCCACTACGTGTGAGGGAACAGATGTCAACTATCAGCTGAATGTAGCTCTTCAATCTGAGAACCTGGAATGTTTTACAATGAAAACAGGAAACCCACATTTGCTCTGTTTCGCCTCAGAGTACAGTTATTGTGGGTCAGTTTTGATAGGACAGTTTGGATTTTCTCATTTAGTCTGACTGAAAGGCCGTTGCGCAGAGGCATTCGCACAACTGCTGCAAAACCCTGCATCAAACTAGGTACCACCTATTACAAATTTCAGAATCTTATGCTAAGGGTTGTGAAGTACTGCAGGAGGTTGGAATTAAAGTGCGACAATTCTCTTTGTTTTGTGATAGGCTTTAAATTAAACAACCCAAAAGGATATATCTCAGGATTCTCTATAATACAATTTCTTTTCCTCCAAGGCATTTGCATCTTTGGTTTAGTTCACCTATGTTGTATCACTGAAACATGTTTTATAAATACTGTTAACAGATTGAAAGCATCTGAATCATTTAAAAAATCCTGAATGAATAATTCATAAGATTAAAATAAGCTGCTAAAGCCATTCTTGTGGCTTCTACATCAAAGGATACAAAAAGAAATGGACACTTATCAGGGATTTTGAAGGCAAGGAGAACTGATTCTAGGCACAAAAAAAAGGAGAGGTTAGATGGACTGGAAAAAGAGGGGTGATATATACATGAGGAACTCTAAATGTAGCTGGAAAAAAATAGCAAATCTGTTCAGAGTAACACAATCATAAAATGAAACTCTGATCATTGGTTCAAATGTTCAGCCAGGCCAAAGCAACTCCTGTTTTATCCTCAGCCATCCTTCCTACCCAGGACCTGTTTGGGAACCCAGTGCAAAATGAAAGTGTGGACCTCTTGCTCAAAAATTATTAATTATTAAGAATTTCAGTTGGACATGGTGGCTTATGCCTTTAATCCCAGCACTTTGGGAGGCAGAGGTGGGCAGATCGCTTGAGCCCAGGAGTTTGAGACCAGCCTGGGCAACATGGTGAAACCCTGTCTCTACAAAAAATACAAAAATTAGCTGGACATGCTGGCATATGCCTGTAGTCTCGGTTACTTGGGAGGCTGAGGTGGGAGGATCCCTTCAGCCAGGGAGGTCGAGGCTACAGTGAGCCATGTTTGTGCCACTGAACTCCATCCTGGGTGACAAAAAGACAAAGTGGAACTGTGTCTCAAAAAAATAAATAAGAAAAAATCAAACAGACATTCAACTGAGCTCGGGGTGCTTCTGTATGCAAGGCCCTGTGGGACTGCAAAAATTGCACATCCATGAGGCCAGCTGAGCTCCTCCATTTCAAGAAGGTGCTATCAATCCACACAGCAAGTATACTTCCATTAAGGGCAAACTAGATGCACCTCTATGATGAACCAGGGCACTCCATTTTTATTATAAAGGTAAGTTCCATGTATTATTTCATGTTACAAGGACCAAATGAAAATAGTTACAAAATACACTTAATATCATTGAAAAATAGTATGTGATCTATTTTCTTATAGGCACTGTTTTTACTGTGAAACTATTGCATTGGCCACATCTCAGTGAAGGTATTCACTTGGGATAAAAGTATCTGATCCAACAAATAATTACTTTTTTAAAAAACAGTGCTTACTTTTAGTGTTCAAAAGATGCCAGTGTGTGTAGACAGAGTGACAGTGAGAGAAAAAGAGAGGAAGGAAAAGGGAAAAGGGGTAGGGAAGGATGGGGGAGATAGGAAAGCACCTACAGGAGGCAGAGAGTTTCCTGAAGGTCATGTGATCCTTTACCCTCAGAAACTTTTAGGCTGAAATCACCATTTCTGTTATTCCAACAAATGTACTCTCCTACCTTTATTAGCACTTCAAGTAAGGCGTAATCACTATTCAAAATTTGGGGCTCAGTCTTTTCCATTAAATTTTTAAGCATGAGTTTTCATTACAGATTATTCTGAAAAGTTGTAATAAAGTCCTAGACATTCACTTTTTTCAATTTGAGGGTGTGGTTGTTATTTTACAATAAACACTGGAGTATGTTTCTTGACACTAGGACTATGATTTTGGGGGAAGAATAGTTCTTAATTAAGGTTGTGGATACATTTATGTTATATAACATGAAAAAACTATTAGAAACAAATGGTTGTAGTGGTAACATATACATTCTTGGATTACTGTTGCACACAAAGAGATGCATGCTAATTCAAATTCTGTAATCATTTTCATTTAAAATACTCCCTTCGCCATGCCTTCCGAAGAAGTTTTTCTTGTTTATTTAGACTTACCTTGACAAAACAAATAATAACACTGGGGTAGTGCTTCCTGATACTGGGTTGAAAGAAGCAGAAGGCTATTTTTACCCTGCCCTGGCCTGAGCATGCGAATTATGTGAGCCTTTAGGCTACTATGTCTGTGTGCTACCTGGCTCAGCACTATAAACAGTACTGCCTGGAGTGTTTTGGTTTTGTCTCTAATGATGAAGACCAAATTAGAAACAGGTGTTCCAATTTCTTCACTTCCAAAATATACTACTGCCAAAAAACTGAAGGCTGATTCCTCACATCTCTTTAGCAAGTGAATAATCAACACAAAGTTTGGGAGGGACTGTTAAAACTTAACTATTTTACAATTTAGATTTACATTTTATAAGATCAGTTTTGAAAGCTGATATTAAAACCACTTTGTACAGAGAAAAAAGAAGAGTGTGTATGTATATATTAAATATTTTATAAGTTATGAAATAAATAACACTAAAAATAAATGTCAAATTGTGAGTTCAACTTTGCCTTTCCTATTTCTTAAATATAAATATATATTTAAAATTTGAATTTAGATCTTTACCCTAGATTTTTAGAGCATTCTCCATAATATTCTCAAAACAAAGAATTCTGGGTATTAATCGTTGATGTTCTAAGCCCAGAATTCTCATTAAGCCTAGGAACACAAATAAATAGAGCTCTTTTTCCATCTAGTTAGAATCTATGAAGATTTCTGTGATACATCATAAAGGTTCCTCAATGGTTCAATATATTTTTCAAAAAAATAATAAATCTCATGATGTCTGAACATTAAGATAATAAAGTAGGACATTTCTCTTAGTTAATATCTTTAATTTTTTATGTAGAATATACTATTTTTTTCTCCACCAAAATAACAATATATTTGCAGGCGGGAACATGTATGATTTTAAATGCACTTTTGAAATCTTAGAGTAGAACCACCACTCTAGTAATACTTGTAATAAAATTAAAATAGTTTTAAACACTTCCATAAAGAATTAGGGGTGCCCAGCTCCTTGATTTCCCCCTAGGGATAAAGATATCCATGTACAATTCCAGGAGCTTCCCTGTAATTCCTCAAAAAAGCACTAGTAAAACTCTTAGGAGGATATTAGATAAAGCTCACTTAGCAATAGCCCTTTTTCCCCACATATTCTGGAAGGTTCTACAAAAGCTATTAGATACTCATTCCTGGTTCTGGAAAATTAAATAAGCCAATTCTTGGTAGGATTTTCCAAATGGCTTACCACAGAGGATTTATCCTCTTTTGAAATATTTCATCCCATAAAGAATAGAAGCTCTGCCTTCATAGCATTTCAAGCTTCTGTATTTCTGGGACAAAAAATGTCTAAACAGAATTAGATCTCCAGGTCTCAAAAGCACAGAGATATATCAAGAGAAATCTGGAGTTAAACCAAACAAAAATCTGTAAAATGTGTAAATGTCATTCTCCTTCCCTCTCAGACCTTCTTGCCCTTGTTTGCTGTTTTCGTCTTCTTCATGGAAAAGCAAGTCCTTCAGCACTGGGCTACCAGCAGATGTCCCAAAATGTGTCACCCTGAACTCGGAATGAGAGAAAATCTCATTAGTTGTGCCCCTGCTGATGTGAAAGCAAGGCTTCCATCACTCCCCTTTCAGAGGCACCACATTATCCTATGAGGTTGGGTCAGACGGTGGTGCTATGTTTGATCCTTTTCTCGAACTTCTTGTAATCGTTTTTCTAGGCGATCCAATTTGGCAAGATTTTCCTTCAGCAGTTTGCTGTCTGGAACCAGCTGTAAGGCTCTCTCATAATAAGCTCTTGCAGACACATATTTTCCCTGGGGGTGGGAAAGAGGGAGCAATTACATTCTGATCCATCACAAAACTCTCTCAGAGAATGAAGAGACTAAGAAACTGACCCTCTGCCCAGTTTTACATTAATGTTCTCATATGGAAACTCTGTCTGTATGTGTAATTTTATCCTTGTCTATTGGTGCTTTTGAAGACTCCATTTGTTTTAAGCACTAGATCAGTTGCAGAATGTGAAAGAGGAGAGTTATACTGTAAGGATAAATGGCAGAAAAACAGATTTTCAATTCTACTAATGCAGGGTGTGAGGTTACCATTTCCTGGTGTCCTCAGGGGGCTAGTACTGTTCCTTGTAAAATGGAACCATGGCACAAAATTCATGTTAGGGGAATGGGGTGGAGGGGATGGGAGAATGAGAGATGAGAAAATGTTTTTAAAACTGCAAGAAGAATGATTAAATAGTTTATGTATCCACTCTCTCTGTTTAGTGATAGCAGTTATTCTAGTCTTCAGCTTAAAACGTAAAAGTAACTTTTGCCTAATAAAGTTTTTTGCAATGAAAAGACTTGATAAGAATGTGAAGTCAAATTTTTTACTACTGCAGGTTTGCAGCAGTATGCATTAGCTATATACTTTTAGTGCAGTATGGTATGTGACTCCTGACCTACTAAACACAACTGTCCCCACCCTCTGTTGGCTTCCAACTGTTTTGTTTGATTCTTCAACTAGCAACCATGTGTGCCTGGTCCCAGAAGGGGTCCCTGGCAACTCAGTCACAGCTATTAGCTTTTTTCAGCATTTTTTCTGCTTCTGGATGTATTACCTCCCTTATTCGTTCCACCCTCTTTTAGATCTGTATTCTGCAAATTCTCAGAGCTAAGATTGTTGGAGTTCCCCCATTAGAAAAAGTATGAATTTGTTCCATCTATTCTTAGTTATAGCTCCCATGTGGATAAACACCAGTGACCCTCTACATTTCCATCACAATTAAAAATTGTATCTCTTAGAGTGAAGACACCATGTAGCAACAAACAACTAATACTTATCCAGTGCTTACCTATCTTCCAAATACCTGTCAAAAGCTTAGACACATAGTGAGTGCTCAATACGATACTAACATTACTGTTATTAATGACTATCCAGGCTCTGTATCAATAGTGTCTATTTCTTACTGTATTTACTGGTCATATTGGTGAAAAGGAAAGTGGAAATGACAGCACAAGAAATTGTACGTTAGATATCCAGGCACTGGCATGTACAACAAAAGGAAGTATTAACAATGACTCTGATAAGAAGTTAAACAGATTGCTGAACAAGTGGGAACTTGCATTTGCTATATTCAATTATTATTTTTTTCAATTCAAGGATATGTCTTCCAAATGTCTTCTGATTTTTATTAGCCTTAGCACTTACATGCAGACAACTATACATTTCTGGGTCTAAGAGTGCTCTCAAAATCTGTTTTGACTGCAATTGCTTTTGAAATGATTCTTCCAGGAGGCTCCCTGAATGTCAGCCCCAGTGAAGTGCCTTGGGATCTTATTCTCTGATCACCAGGCTTCTCTGTCCTTTCACACAGAACGCAGTTCCTTTTCTCTCCCTCAAATTGCCCTTTTCTTCACTAAACTAGAAGCTGTATTTTTTTTTTCTCTGTAGCCCAGGCTGGAGTGCAGTGGTGCAATGTCAGTTCACTGTAACCTCTGCCTCCCGGGTTCAAACAGTTCTCGTGCCTCAGCCTCCCGAGTAGCTGGGACTACAGGCGTGCACCACAACATGCCCGGCTAATTTTTGTATTTTTGTAGTAGACAAAGGGTTTCACCATGTTGGCCAGGCTGTTCTCAAACCCCCGACCTCAGGTGATCTGCCTGCCTCGGAATCCCAAAGGGCTGGGATTACAGGTATGAGCCACCGTGCCCAGCCTAGAAGCCCTATTTTAAAAAATAATTATATCCTTTAAGTCAGTATCTCCAATTCCCTAGATGCTAGGTAAAAAAATCTGAATTATCCAGTTTCCAGAACTGTGTTCACTTGATGGCCACTAGTCACAAGTGGCTTTTCCAATTTAAATTAGTTACAATTAATTAAAAATTCAGTTTCTCAGTTGCACCAGCCATATTTCAAGTGCTCAGTAGCCATGTGTAGCTAGTGGCTACTGCCTCGGACAGGGCAGCTACTGAATATTTCCATTGTCACAAAAGTTCTGCTGGACAGCACCATTCTAGAAAATGCATATTTACTGTCATGAGGCAGTACTGAAAATCAGACTTTGTGCTATAGCCTGGTTGATGCAACTCTTTGATGATAAAAAATGTATTATAATTTCTTGGTCCACTCACTTCATCTTATATGTAAAACTTCATAAGAAGCGTTACTTTTTATAACCAAGTGTCATGAGCAAGAGACAACTATGACATTTGCTCCTCTCTCCCCCATCTCTTTCTGCAACCTCCTTGCAAAGTACTATTCTAACTCTCAACCTTGCTGGAGCTCTCAGGCCTGCCTAAGCTTCCCCCAGGTTTGGGGAAGGAGCGAGGCCTAGGAATGGGTAACAATGCCCGATGCACACATGACCTGGCAATGGAAAAGACACAGAAAGTTCATAATTATCTTTTAGGCTTCATAAGGACAACTCTGCATTCTAATAGTGGCATCAAAATGACCACATCTGAGCCATGTGCCTGTTTATATATTTACATTAGATTGAATCACATAAATTAACTGATATTTGACCACTTTAAAACTGCAAAGGTGGCAATTTTATATTGGTCAGCCTAGTACATGATGTCCACAAAGACAAAAAACAGGATAAACTAATTTTTACTCAGCACTAATTATATTTTAAAATAATGTAGTCAATAGATCCTTCTTTAATCTCTAGACACTTTCCCAAGGGAAGTACTTCCTAATTTAAAGCAATGGGTTCACCTGGTAAAGAGTGCAGTAGACATACTATTTTCTCTATTTCCAGACTTCTTGGACACTTTTGAGTATATTTGTTGTACTTTTTCTAATTAACAACTATACCCATTATTTTAGCTGCAGATATACTCCATCTGAAAACATATTGAGCACATTGCAGTTGTTTGTCACTTAATGACAAAGATACCTTCTGAGAAAGGCGTCATTAGGTGATTTTCCTTTTGGCAAACATCATAGGATATAGCCACATAAACCTAGATGAAATAGTTTACTACTACACACCTAGACTATATGATATAGCCTATGGATTCGAGACCACAAACCTGTACAGCATATTAGTGTACTGAATACTGTAGGCAATGGTAACGCAGTGGTATTTGTGTATCTAGACATACTGAAACACAAAAAAGATGTAGTAAAAACACGGTATTATAATCTTATGAGACCATGAGACATCATCATATATATGATCCATCTTGGACCAAAATGATGTCATGTGGCACATGACTGTATTTGAAAATGTAACTATTTAACATATGATTAAAAATATTTAAAATTATCGTTTTACTCTTTTAAAGTAAGTTCATTCTATGTTTCCCAGCTAGATACTACTGGACACCCTAGAATATCATTAAGATCAGAGCTTGGGCAATTTGGCTCTGAAAAATATCGTGCTTGAATTCACCACCTACCAGATCAAAGCTGTCAGCTGCAGGGTAATTATCCCATTAACCCCTCCCATTTGTGTAATCGTAGGTCATCTTTTTTGTGTGTGTTTCCAAGAGTGATCAGTTTCCACTTAACAGTAAAACCCGTTAGGACTTTGTTCAAATTTTAATCACTACACTGCTATTTTATCAGTGCAGAGACTGAAAATCAGTTAGCTAAGCAAGGGTGGTTCTTTAAAAACATGTTGGATCATGGCATTTCTCTGCTCAAAGTCCTCCAAAAACCCTGACTCATTTGGCATAAAAGCCCAAGTCCCTACAAACTCCTTGAAGGCTGCATGATCTGACCCTGCACCCTCTCTGACCCTAGCTTCTCCCATTTCCTTTTCTTTGCTCTCTCCTTGCCACGCTGCCTCCTCACTTTAAACAACAGGCGTGCTCAAACCTTAGGGCCTCTGCACGTGCTTGTGCTCTTTCCCTATTTCGCCACATGGCTCACTCCTTCAGGTCTCTTCTCAAATACTACTTTGTAACTGAGGCCTTTCCTAACCACCTGAATTTAAAACTTTAGCCCTTATTGCCTGGCATTCCAATCTTCTTTCTCTTTTTTCTCCTTAGCACTTATCACCAGCTAATATATTTTATACATATACATATGCACATATGCATGCATTAAACATTCATGTATGTATGTTTGTATTAATATATCAACTCCTCCTCCTCCTTGTATTAATATATCTCCTCCTCCTCCTCCTTGTATTAATATATCTCCTCCTACTAGCACCATAAGAACAGGAATTTTTGTCTTCTTGGTTCATTACTGTATTCCCAGTGCCTAGCAGGGGATATGACACATAGGATGTTCGCCATAAATGCTTATAAAATGAATGGATGAATGAATAAATGAATGATGGCGAATCGTTCATTGCATTAGTTACAGATAATAGTCCCCCAAAGGTCATTTTCAATCTTTGGGAAGACTCACCCAAAGGTAGTGTTTTTCCTTTGGAAAAACAAAACAAAGCAAAACAAACAAGTTTGCTTTCCAGTAAAAAATTAGGGAGAAAAGGTATATTAGACATAAGAAATAGGAAGTAATATTCTAAGTAACACTTTAATCTTGACAGTGAGTTAAACTGGGAAGAAATTAAGCTATACTGAGCTACTGAGCTTGAACAACGATTTAGTTCCCATAAACAGATTTTACCTGCTGTGGGATACTTCCATTAGGTACATATGATTTTCTTCATGGTTAGAAAAATCATAAAATCTAATTTATACAGATTTATTTTTAAAATAGCTTCAGGATATTCAGTATCTAGATAATGCAAAATGAACATAAACTGAGCTATTTCACTTTTAAACTGCCATACTTTTGATATTCAAATGATTTCAAAAAGGAAATTAACAATAGTTCCTCAATCCTTTAAGAAAGAAGACAGAGAGAGAAAACACAGGGGGAAAGCCCGGTCCACATGGGAGTGAATTATTCTCCTACCTTGATGTGTTGGATGCCACCCATGTTCATCCAGGCCTGTGCTTGGTCTGGGTTTAGTTGCACAGCCACTCTATAGCTCTAAATAAATAAGAAATATCCTCAGGTTAGGAAACAAACCTCCAAACTCCAGGATTGCAGAAACCACTTTCTTCACGTGTGAAAATTTAAAGTAGTAATACAATGAAACCAGCCGCTACTAGTTCACAGGAGACCCTGCTTATTTCTATTATTTTTCAAAGTTGATGATTCTAAAGTGGAGGAAACTGAAATGTATAATTTCCCTGCAGAGCTGACCTTTGGACTTAGAGAGACTGAGGATGCCTGCAGGGAATTCAGGTGATTTCTATTATATCACATCATTTTTAACTGGCCTTGACCTGCAAGAAAATTGTACTTTCTGGCCTTTTTTCACTGCAAATGGAATTGGTAAGAAAATTCTTTTTATAATAACAGAATTTTGGAGTAGTCTTCTGAACAGTTTAACCCTAATGCAGTATCCCCTTTTACAATATAACTGACCTAGTCGTTCAGCCTATGCTGAAATTCTTAAAGTGGATCACCGCCTCTTTAAGAACATCTACTTTACTAGGGGATAGTTTTATTCATTAGACAGTCTTTTTTCCCCTGCCACATGAAAAGTCTTCAAATGTTTAAAGAGAGTTACTTATCCCTCAAGCACTTTCTTTGGTCTGAATAACATGTATCCTATTAAATGTAGTATCAGTGATGTGTGGTATATTTTTAACATTATGCATGTTTTGTATCAAAGGTGTGCTCACCACTGAGTCTCAAGTGGTCACCTGAAATAAAGCCACAGGTTAAGGGTATTGCCTTTAATTACAAAGCTAAGTATTTGTGCACATATTTTAATGTTCCTTGCTATTTTCATTAGCAAGAATATGACCAAACAGGTCCATCAAATAAAATCTGGTCCATTCTCCTCTACTTCAGTTTTAGGGGAAAGAAAGAAATGTTATGAAACTATACCTTCAAAAAGCTGCTAAAATAAACCAAAAGGGTGTGTCTCTTGGATTAATTTATATCAGTGAAGATGGGAATGTAGTGTAGGAGACCTGGATTCAAACCCTGACACCGTCTCTTACCCACTTCTGTGACTTTGAGCAAGATATGACCTTTAAGCCTGAGTTTACAAAACTATAAAATGATGATAATGACCATGCCTTTCTTATAGGATTCTTGTGAAGATTAAGTTACATAATACATATGAATCATGCACAGAGTGATAATACATTTCAGCTGTTATTATGAATCAATGGCCATATATATATATATATACACACACACACATACATATTCACAATTAAGTTATTAATAATGTTCACATTCGTTATAAATAACTTAAGAATGACGATATTGAAAATGTTGAAAAGGCAGAGAAAATCCTACAAATTCTGAGAAAAATGCCACAATTTCTGTTTTTGATTAAAGGATTCACATTCAAATGAGCTTTCCCAAATATCTTTCCATGTGTTTTCCAATAATATTTAAAAATCCACTCACTTATTTCCCAACACAATTGTATCATTTGAGATTTTACTTTTCCTATAATATATTTAGTATAATTTTATGACTTCAATAATTTGTGGCTTTACCAGATATAAGGAGAAAGTATGTAACATTGTAACATTTCTATTTCTACTTATGTCTTCTTGAGTTCAACCTGTGAATAAGTTTTATTCCAAAACCATAGATACTGAACACCTTGTAAGATGCAAAACATTGTTTTAGAACAGAGAAGGATGCAGTCCCTCTCTACAAGGAAAGTCCAATCTAACTGGGGAGATAAACTATGCAAGGATTTGTGCGTGCCTGCACACACAGAGACACACACACACACATACGGGGGTTAGGGGACGGACCTAATAATACAATGTAATATGTGACACTTTCAAACGACTGGTACCTTCATGAGACAGTCCATGCTTTTTAAGAGTTCAGAAGAAGTAAGGTCACAGGGAATAAGGACGGTTAGGGAGGGCTTCCTAAGGCAGGAGGACAAAGACTGTATCTTGGTGGATGAGTGGAAATCTCATCCTCCAAGTCAAGAGAGGGCATTTCAAGGACATGTGGGAATGTCCAAGGCTTTTCAGGTACTAGTCCAGCTGGAATAGAAGGTCTTGCAGGCAGAGACACAGACAGAGAGAAGCTAGTTTGAGGCCAAAATGTGGAATGCTGTCAACATCAAATTAAACATGATTATTCAGAAAAATAAATGCGCAACTCTGATTCAGTCAAGGGCCAGATGCTCAATGATAAAAAATAAACAAAACTTCGTCAATTAGTTAAAAAAAACTCACTCACTCCATAAACATACATGCCAGTGATCTTAGATCTTACTGTACATGTTTCCTTAAAGATCAAAAGACAATTAATTTTAATCTGTGAATTTGATGATATAATTTTATGATGAGTTTATACCTCAAAAGCTTTGTCGAGAAGGTTCTGCTCTCTTAATTGGTTTCCTTTTGTGAAAAAAAGTTCAGAAATGACTTTTGGGTCCTTTGGTTTCAGCTGGAGAGCCTTGTCTATAGCATCAAGTGCCTGCAGAGGTTGGAAATTAAGACAGAATAAATGCAGATTAGGTAAAGAAAAACTTATTTAACTGATCAAATTTATACTTTTTGTTCCTATGTGTCAGCAGGTATGGTATGTGACAATCAAAGTACAATTCTTGGTCAGGCGTAGTGGCTAATGGCTGTAATCCTAGTACTTTGGGAGGTTGAAGTGGGCAGATTGCCCAGTAGCTCGAGATCAGTCTGGGCAACATGGTGAAACCCTGTCTCTACAAAAAAATACAAAAATTAGCCAGGTGTGGTGGTGCACACCTGTAATCCCGGCTACTGGGGGGGCTGAGATGGGAGGATCTCTTGAGCCCTGGGAGGTGGACCTTGTAGTGAGGTGAGATCATGCCACTGCACTCCAGCCTGGGCAACAGAGGAAGACCTTGTCTCAAATATATATACATTCTTCATTATCTTTGATTTTCTCACTGGGAATTAGTGGCCCTGACAAAATAACTTTCTTACACTCCAGTTTTCCCACGTATCGATGAGTGGCAATAAAATATCCTTGATTACTTTACAGGGAGGTGGTGTGATACAGTTGAAAGAAAACAAGATTTGGCATCAGACGTTTTCCCTGACCATGTGTTCATCTGGACCACCCCACCAGCCCCTCTCAGGTCCTAGTGACCATTCTGCCCCCAGCACCCACTGACCCCACTGCAGCCAAAGATCCCTTCAAAGCAAATATCTGATCATGTTCCTCCTCTCCACAAAAACCCAAAGCTTCTCCCATGGTAAGGAACAAAACCCTTGGCCTGGCCCCAAGGAGTCTCCTCCCAGCAGCCTGTGCTTGCGTTCCTACGGTGCTCCTGCTCCCTCACTCCCATTCCTCAGAGAGGCCCCTCACTGCTGCCACAGGGCTTTGCATGTGCGTTTCCCTGCCCAGAATCCTCCTTGCTTCTTCCTCTGCCTAACAACTCTTATTCTTCATCCAGCCCTCACCTCCACATCACTTTACAGGGAGACCTGGCCTCCCAGACTCATCGGGTCCCCTGATTATATGCTCTTTGGGAGAGGTAGCGCTTCATGATATTCCTGGGCACAGCTATCACTCTACATTTGTTTTGTGAGTACCTGTTTAATCTCCTTCTCTATGGGTTAGCTCCATGAAGACAAGGGCAGTGACTTTTTTTTTTTTTTTTCATACCACTTTATTTCTGATGCCTACTACAGTGGCCAGGACATAGTGGGCCTTCAACAATTACTTCATTGAGTCAGTTTATAAATTTACTGATTATGTGACTTTTAAAATGGAGATAATAACAGTTGTGACATTGGGTCACCCTGTGTTTCCTTCTTATATATTGTTTCATGTAATCTTCCTATATATTCCTCTTCTATATTGTTTTATGTAATCCTCATAACAACCCTGTAAAGCATGGTTGTTATGAGGATTACATAAAACAATATATAAGAAGGAAAATACAAAATAATAAAGCATATAAATGTTGGTCTTGATCTTTATAGACTTAGCTGAAAACAAACTAAGACAATACCACATAAAAGCTTTACACCAAAGATAAGCCAAGAAAAATATTATTACAAGGGGACATCTTAGGTGTTAAGGGGATATCTGTGAAAAGTTTCCAAGAGATAGGATATGCTGACGGATAAGATTTAAGATTTCCCAGGCTTATAAACACGCAAACTGGAGAATCACTTAGGTGCACCCCATGTTTAACCTATGAATCCAAAGAACTCTAAACAATGTCCTTCTTTACCTTGTCGTGGTTCTCCTGCTTGCTATAGATGGCTGACAAGAGGCGATAGCATTCAAGGCATCCGGTCTCCTCTGACACAATGTGATTGGTCATCTTTTCAGCTTCTTTTGTCTGACCCATCACGGCCAAAACCTGAGCCTACAAAACCACATGGACCTTGGCTTAGCAGAGACTTCATTACCTTATCAAATAAAGCATCCCTGAATAGAAGCATTCAGAACGCACTCCTGACAAACATGCTCAGCATCAATTTAGTGACTCATAGAGAAGGCTGAATCACCAGTTTTCAGGTTTTGACTTTTTGCTGTTTGTTTCTTTATTTAGTTTTGTGCATGCATTTGTGAGTGAGTGGCAGAAACACTAAATATATCCAGTGAAATGGCTTGTGGCTTTTAAAAAAGGTTGACCAAATAAGTCAGAAGAGAAAGAATTTCCTCTGATTTCATCAGAACAGTGTGTTTACAGCAAGATAACAAATTTGATTTATTGCACATCTAAGGAAAAGGATGAGTGAAGTTCCAAACACTGAAATAAAAATTTTGTTGGTATGAATGTTAATTTTCCTGAGTCTAATAAATACACTGTGGTTATGTTAGAGAATGTCCTTCTTAGAAACTATTTGCAAAGGTATTTAGAGATAAAGGGGAATGATATATACAACTAATTCCCACATGGTTCAGGAAAAAAATAACACACACTAATAATAGGTATATACAAACATACATATCTAAATATGCACACATATACATGTAGGTACATATACATCTACATATGCATACACAATGGAGTGATAAATGAATCAAAATGTTACAAATCATTGGAGCTGGATGAAAGGGTATATGTAAATTTTTTACTATTCTTGCAACACTTTCATAAGTTTGAAGTTATTTCAAAACAAAAATGCAGTATTTTTGGTGTCCATGTCTTTAGAGAATGGCTCTAACATTAGCTGTATGAATATTCATACAGTGGATATATTACGGCATTCCAGCTCCAGTTTTGAGGCGTGAGGACTACAGCTCTCTCTATGGCTGCCTGTGCTTAGGTTGCCAGCTTCATTTTCTTTCATCCTACTCACCAGTGCCAAGCGGAGCTCCCTCTGAGAAGGCTGAAGTGCTGCAGCTTCCTGGTAAATCTGCAAAGCCTCTTCGTATCGGCCAGTGTTGTAATACAGTGCTCCCAAAGGTGACAATATCTCAGCTTTGTGTGCCACCTGCAGGGCGCTGAGTTTGGAGAAAATCTAAATGACATTTCTCTTCTAATAGGTACATTTCCAAATGTCTAGGCTTAGATTTAGGGAAGACGGTCCATGGTTTGAACCTCTGCTCCAATACGGTCTTTGTTTTTATATCAATAACAAGGTTTTTGGCTTTTTCTTTTTTTTTGAGACAGAGTCTCACTCTGTCACCCAGGCTGGAGTGCAGTGGCACAATCTTGGCTCATGCAACCTCCACCTCCCAGGTTCAAGTGATTCTCCTGCCTCAGCCTCCTGAGTAGCAGGGATTACAGGTGCCCGCCATCATGCCCGGCTAATTTTTGTACTTTTAGTAGAGACGAGGTTTCACCATGTTGGCCAAGTTGGTCTTGAACATCTGACCTCAGGTGATTCGACCATCTTGGCCTCCCAAAGTGCTGGGATTACAGGCATGAGCCACCGCACCTGGCCAAGAACAAGGTTTTTACAAAATGATCATGATGCCATAGTTGGAACGTAAGAATGTCTTATTGACCTATCAATATGGAAACTGAGCCCCAAGGGTCTTTCTCATTAATTATGATGAATTTGTTCTCATGTGTGCATAGTTTTTCATGTATCCTCATTTTTTAAATTGCTGTTTATGATTGGGGTTGCAATCCATGGCTTCAGAAAACAACAAACTGACTAAAGTGGGAATTAAATTTCAACCTTGGTTCAGCACTATAGTCTAACCAGCAAGCCAAAGTCATGAATTATGATCCCATTTATATTGTGGTTGCTTTCTTTGGAGATAAAAATTTGTATCACCTGAATTGGCAAAATTTGCTAGTATTCTGAGAGCACACCTATTCTGATTAACTAAGAAGCTGATGAGTGATTGCTGAGGTTCCTGGGCAACTTATAAAGAAAAGAAAGGGAACTTTACCGCTTGTACCATTCTTCAGCCATGCTGTTCTCTCCCAGTGACCTGTAGAGTCTTCCCAAGTTCACCATGGCCACGTGATGACTGGGGCTAAGTTTGATGGCCTGCTGGTAATGGGCCACTGCCTTTTCTGGTAAGCCTGTAACCAGTGACAGGTTGGTAAGAGCAGAACATGCCTTTTTATAAAAGACATGAACATTTCACTTTCTCTTCTGACTTATAATTCTTTCTCATTATTACAGAGTTATACCAAAATTATTCAATATGCAAATTAGCTTGCATTTCAGCTTCTCATCCTGGCCATTGCCTAACTTTGAACAATTTCACTGTTCATTCATACTTCCAAAAAAATTAACAAAAAAGCAGTAAAAACTAAAACCTATTGTTTTAATTATATATATTATTTTAGTCGAAATTTTTCTGGTCATCGCTCTTGCTAATAGGATGCCTTCAGATTATTAGTGATTGTTATTTATCCAAGATATAACTGGCTCTCATTATATAAAAAATAGAACAGGCTACTGTAGAAATAAAACTGTCCAGAAGCAATTTCTAAGGGTCTGTCTCAATGAACTATACTTCAACATAGCAATTGAAGCATTACTTTAAATAACACATATCAGCTCTATAGTGAAAATCTCTTTTAAAATCATGCACTTTCATTTGAATGGCACTTAATTAATAAGACTTACAACATAATAATGCCACCATGCACTTGTCCAATGCATTATATATTTTTAAATACTTACATTTGTATGGTTTTTGCAGGTATTTTTTTATACAATTTAGCTGCCTTTTGATACTGTTTAGCTGTTTATCAGGATTTAAGAGATATTTAAAAAACCACACACAAAAATTTTCCACTTTACAGATATAGACACTAAAGTGCAAAGATATTCAACAGACTTGATAAAGATCCCAAGGCAAGTGAGAGTAAGGCCAGAAGCAGAATGAAGGCCCTCTACTCTGATAGGTTTCTTCAAAGTAGCTTCCTGGTGAAACTATATTCAGTAACTACACTTTAGAACACTGTGAAATTCTAAATAGAATGGAATGTCTATTATCTACACAGAAATCTTTTCAAGCGTATCTGTTTGAATACAAGTTTGACTAGGAGGTCCCTAGGAGCCTCTGTCTCTGGAGGCAGAGGCTCAATGTCATAGGGTGGTCACAGAGTTATCATTTTTAGGGGTGTGGTGGGGTGGGACTGTTGTTGAAGTAAAAGGAGGAGGGTTAGACCTGCCCAACTAGAGGTTTCTTCTAGTTTTTATATTTTTAAGACAGTTTATTATTATGTGGCCAATGAACCAGCAGGTGGCACTACACAACAATTTTACACAGGCAAAAATAAGGTAAGTTTCTTAGATGTATCAGAATGTAAATTTTATATTCTGTAAAACAAGAGAGCTCCAAATATCCTTGAAAATAAAACCCCTTTAAGCATTTCATATTGAAAAACTAATTAAACTAAATTTTGCTGCAGGGCAGCTAGTCTAGTAATCAACAAGAACAAAGTGGTGCTTTGGCCTTACATTTAAATATAATTTCATTACTTACATTGCATGCCAACAGTACAGAGGCACTACATAAGTCATAAAGAAAAGAGAATTCATGCCCAGTAATGTTTTGCATTAAGTAAGATAAAGTAAGTGTATTTTATATAGCACCTGTCATATAAGAGCATTGTATCAATTTTAATAATGCAGTTTCTAATGTACATCAAGGAAGGAATGATGGAACAATTCTGGAGGCTTTTAAAAAATATGTTATAGAAAAGTATTTACCATCTGCCAGTAACTGCTTTCAGAGGCAGGTTTTGCATCATTGTAGAGAAACATTTCATCATCATGGATTTATAAATATATATAAATAATATTCAAAGAAGATTGGGACTTATTAAATCATAAGGCTACTTCCTGTCCCCTGGGGAGTTTTCCATAGAGAAATGAGTATGAGAATGGCCAGATTTTACTGAATCGAGCTTGAAGATCTAGAGAAATGACAGCCCCGAGGTATAATGACTGTCAATAGTGTGAGCTTCCTGCCAAGCCCAGTGAATTTTACTTCTGAGGATTATTTGCCTTCCATTTTGCTTGATAAATTGTATTAGCTAATCTCAGCAGTACAGTTTCTCTTTAATTTCACTTACCAGTATCAACTAAGAAAACCCCATAGTTGTTGTGTAAATCTGAGCTGTCTGGACAGTTCTTTATTCCAGTTTGGTATATTTCTTCAGCTTCTTTAAACCGCTCCTTTAAAAAGAAAGAAACAAACAAAATAAGTGAGAAAGCTTTCTAAAACCAACAATAACTGAATATTAGGAGCAGGAAAAGCAAAAAAAAAATAAATCTTACTAAGCACCTAATATACAACAGGCTACTGAGATAAGGCACTATGAACTTTGTTTGAATTAAAGGCAATATTAACTGTGTACAAAATACCCAAAATTCATATCTGTATTTAGTTCCCTTAGGGCGAAAAAGATGATGTTTTCTCAAATGGGACCTTTGGAAGGATATGGACCTGTACAACATGCACGCCTACCGGGGAAAAAGGACTGAAAATAGTTGTTCGAATAGGATGCCCTTCACCCCGGTGACTCTCCATACGAAAACGGGGGATGCAAAAATGGTGGAATGTTTTCAGAGGTGGCAATGTGGTTGGGAGGCAGGGCAGTCTGGGGAATTTGTTTTCTAGCTGCATTTGGATAGATGACTCTCTTTTTATCTATATACTGTACTGCTTGTTTTGGGAAGTTTTTGAGGGAAGTAGAGAGGGGAGGCAGATGCAGATGTTGGGGAGGGCTCTGCCCTATCCTTTCATTACTTGAAGTATGTCTACAGCCCACCAGACTGGTGGCTACTTCCCATACTCAGTCCATGCTTTCCACCTCTGAGCTGCTCCCTCCAACAGGTTTATATGTCCCCTCAAGGGTGTACCTCCAACCTGTGTGGCAAGGTTCAGGTCGATCACCACATCTCTCATTCTAGGGCTCCAATTCTAATTGCCCTTGTGTTCTCTTTGTCTAAAGATTCACTTTAGCAAACTTTAGTAATTCTGAGTTACTTTTTAGGTACATTTTTCTTTTTCTTTCTTTCTTTTTTTTTTTTTTTTTGAGACAGAGAGTCTCACTTTGTCGCCTTGGCTGGAGTGCAATGGGGCGATCTCGGCTCACTGCAACTCCTGCCTCCTGGGCTCCAGTGATCCTCCCACCTCAGCTCCCTGAGTAGCTGGGATTACAGGCATGTGCCACCATGCCCAGCTAATTTTTGTATTTTTAGTAGAGATGGGGTTTCCCCATGTTGGCCAGGCTGGTCTCAAACTCCTGGCCTCAAGTGATCCGCCCGTCTTGGCCTACCAAAGTGCTGGGATTACAGGCATGAACCACTGCACTTGGCCCTTTTAGGCATATTTTTCACAACCATTAGAGACTGTTATGTCACACTTACTTTTACTATACAGAAGGTGAAATTAATTAATCAAAGGTTCCCAGATACTAAGACTTATTTACCCACAAGTTAACAAAATGTCATCTTTTCCTAGTACAGCTGCGATGGTCATGTAAAATAAGATGATTTGGCACAAAGCACATGCCAGCTTTAAAAAATACATATATGCCCTGAGTATGGACATTTTCCAAAACCTTATCTCAAGTTACTCCTACCAAGCATTCAACCAGACACATGACAAAGGAATGTAGAGCAACAATTTCCTGAGACGTGGCACCTTAAGCTTGTGATTATGTGTTTAGATATTTACATTGAGGGCTGAACAATAAGCCAAGAAGCCCAAATCTGATTTGACCCAGAAAGGGACATATACTTTACACTCTGTAGAATGACCAATGCCATCTATTTGAGTTCCTACATTTAAGTAACATTAGGGAACAAGGTGTGGTTTGTCAAACTTCATCCACACTCCAGCAAAAATAAGGATCCATGTCTCTAAATATATGTTTTTTAATTGCCAAACTCAACAAATTATCAAATTCAAAAAATTTAAAGATGAATTAAAGTCTCAAAATATTTCCTTTCAATCTATTGAAGAGAAGCTTTCTGAAGCTCTCGTCCATTGAAGGACTGACAATGTGTGTGTGTGTGTGTGTGTGTGTGTGTGTGTAATGAAGACAGGCAGAACAGAAATTATATAACAACCTGAGAAAATTAACATCTAGAGAGTACCATAGGGTGTATATTCATGTATCCATTCATTCCACATGCATTTACTGCAATGGCTATAGAAGTATGACATAGTGGTTAAGAACGAGGCTCCCAAGATTTGACTGCGTGGATTCAAATCCAAGCCCCACCATCTACTGTCTGTGTGACCTTTCTTACCCACCATGTGCCCCAACTGTAAATCAGGGACAACAATCATACTTATCTTATAGGGTTGTTTTGAGGATTAAATCTATTAAAACATTTGAAACACTTAGAACAATGCTCAGCACATGGTCAGCACGTTGGTTTATCATGCTGGTCTTTATCCTTACTTATCCAAAATCTCATAGCTACATGGGGACAGAGAATAGAAGCTAGGTTTTCAGTGGGCCAATGGGGAATTGGGGAGCCCTGAATAAAAGCAGTATTTTTGGAAATAAACAAACATGACTGGCATAAACAGTTACACTTTTGGGTATTTGTCCATCTGTTCATCCATCCAACCTGTCCCTCCCTCCCTTTCCTTGACAAATATTTCACGAACACCATTGTTAAAAGAAAAACTTTAGACAAATTAAATGTAACAAAGTTTATTTGAGCAAGAAAGAGTTCACAGATTGGGCAACCCCCTGAACCAGAACAGGTTCAAGGAGACTTTGCCACTGCCATGTGGTCAGGGAGGATTTACAGACAGAAAAAGGAAAGCGACTTACAGAAAACAGAAGTGAGGTACAGAAATGGCTGAATTGGTTACAGCTCAGTGTTTGTCTCACTTGAACATAGTTTGAACAGCTGGCTGTCTTGATTGGCTGATTGGTAGGAGAGAAATAGGCACAAGGTGGTCTGTTTATGCATCCAGTTAGGTTACAGTTTACTAGGTACAGAGAAACTTTTAGGGCAAGCTTAAAATATGTAAGGAGGCAGTTTTAGGCTACATTTAACAATGCTCCCCTCAAAATTGAGAGGTGAACCAAAACTGTAGGCATTGATTTCACTCTACCACTATCGTAAAGGCACTTATTTGGTCTTAAGTTTTACTGGGAAATAGCAGAACAGTGAGCTTTGTAAGATGGTTTTTTTAGGTTATTTTTTTGAAAGAGAGTACAGGGGACCTCTCTGTGTTGGAATCTCTTGTTTTTTGGAGGGCAGAAAGAAAATTCGCGTCTATTTTAGGACTTACCTGTTTAGGATTTTTTTAAAAAATTTTAATTTGATTATGTCACACTTAGCATGAGTGACTCTATTTTGGTTTGGTCTGGTCTGCTGGGGCCTATTGTATGAACTCAGTCCAAAATAATGGCATCTCCTAATTTTGTTTAACAGTTTCTTCCTTTTGGTTATGATTTTACTTAGGTGAGTGTGACCATTAGGCTTTTAACGCCATTCTCAGTTACCATTATTTTAGGGTTTTGGTCTCAGTACATCATTTATTGGTTATGATGTCTTTATGAGAACACTCTTTTTTGAGTTTTTGTCATCTCAATTAAAGAGAGACCATTTGACATTTTACAAATGGCTGTATGTAACCATTGAAAACTTTTGAGGGAACATAGTGTGCCAGAGAGACAATTATAATGATCAAGAAGATCAAATCAAGAGTTTGGAGTATGCTCCTTAGTCAGCATCTCCATGAACCAAACCAACTAAAATGAAATAGATCAAAGAATGAGCCAGAAAAGGAGTCTACTTGTTTTAATCAAGCAGTCTGTTTATTAATACCCTACAACCAAATCTCTGTAATAGTCAATGCATTTATTTACATGTAACAAATAGAGTCAGTAATGGTACAGATTTTTTTCTGTTTATCCAGTAGACAATCTAGAGTAATTTTATTATCCAGCACAACCTTAGCAAGAGAATTTAAAGATGACTTTTGTGTAATCAGTCTTTGTAGTACAATCTGTTATGGAGCCTATTATGAGGGATGAATTGTAATCATTATCTCCTTTAAATTATGGGAAAAGGGGCCTAAGAATTATGTCTAGAAGAGTGTAAAGAAACTCCATGTTTAAACTTCACTAGAAGAGTGAAGGCCCCTGGCAGTGTTGTTTTAAACCTATGATGTAGGTTAAAAGGAATGAACCAATGTTCTGGTTCTGACTGATTATGGAAGAATAAAGATGCCATTAAATGTTTTTGCTCACATTGGTCCTGAATCTTTTCTACCCAGGCATAAGACTGTCAATGTATAATGCTGGCTGCAAAGTCCTCTACAAATAAAGTTATACCTCATGATGTACACAAATCTCCCTTTTTAGTTTTATTGTTTATAGAGGCATAAGCAAGGAAAAAATTAAGAGAGGTAAGAGTCTGATGATAGCAGAAAAGTCTTGATCTGTGATCTTGGGAAAGCTGTCCATGTCTAGGATGCCATTTGTTTTGGGGAGAAACTTTCCTGATTAGCTTTATCTTAAGGTTTCAAATGGGTGTATAGGTCAAAGAGTCTGGAGGGCCCTTTTCAGTTGTGAGATTATGAACCTAAGCTTTGAGGTCCCAAAGTTTTGCTGTAGTGTGGGTGGCAAGGGCAGTCTTTTTTTTTTTTTTTTTTTTTTTTTTTTTTTTTTTTTTTTTTGAGATGGAGTTTTGCTCTGTCACCCAGGCTGGAGTGCAATGGCAGGATCTCAGCTCACCGCAACCTCCGTCTCCTGGGTTCAGGCGATTCTCCTGCCTCAGCCTCCCAATTAGCTGGGATTACAGGCACCCATCACCACACCCAGTGGCTAATTTTTGTATTTTTAGTAGAGACAGGGTTTCACCATGTTGGCCAGGCTGGTCTCGAACTCCTGACCTCAGGTGATCCACCCGCCTTGGCTTCCCAAAATACTGGGATTGCAGGTGTGAGCCACTGTGCTCAGCAAAGGGCAGTCTTTTTCTGATATCATTTTCAGAATATCCAGTCTCTGGGTTTTAGACCATGAAGGGTTTGATTGTCCACAGTCACTGATCATGAAAAGCCTTTTTTTTTTTTTAAATCTAGCGAAAGTATACTTTGGCATGATGTATTAAAGCCTTGTAGCATTTAGTCATATCAGAGTTTCAGACCAGAAAGTAAATGAGGTTTTGTTATTAGGGATATGGGCCCTCTACCGACTATTTTAGAAAGGCCAACTTACGTTTTCCCCTGGAAGTGGATCTGATTATCCACTGTATCCACTGTAATACTTTTGAATAAGACAATCTAGTTGAATCAGTTACCTTTGCCTAATGCTATTGTATCTGAAATACCTTATTTGTTTTACAACTTGTCCAGTGAATCAAGTGCCTTTTATTGCTAGAGATTTTTCTAGGAATGTCCCATGAGGGAAACACACTTTCTAATAATGTTTTAGCTACTATTACAGCCATCAGATTTTTGTATGAGAAAGCTTTCATATAACCAGAAAATACGCATTAAAAATGACAGTTGAATGAAATTTCTCTATAAATGTTTAAATGGCCCATCAGGTAGCAGAAATGTACCTGAAGTTTTGATTGTCTTCCCAGGATTATGAGTTTGACCACCCAAATATTAGTCAACCATTTTAGCAATTTAGAATAGTCACCATACCAATAAATACTTTAAAAATGTAACCTGGATCAGTTTATCCCTCCTATGATGAGTGATGGCATACAGAACTTTTAACAATGAAAGCTTGAAGGACTTTGGAAGGACCAGGTGGCCATTTAGGCTCTCCATGAGTATATGCTTAATACTGAATTTAGATCCTCTCAAAAACCAATTTTGTTTTTCAATTCAGATGTATAGCACTGTTTATTAGGTGGGCCATCATAGGTAATTTGAATTGGACCATAGAAGTTTATTTAAATTGTATACTTAAAACATTTTAGTGAGAGCTGATTTAGCATGAAAATCTGGCAAAGTGTTTTCTTGGTATTCAATTAATTCTTGTCTTGCTTGGGTTAGAAGTTTTATAACCCAGTCAGTCTCTTCATTAGAGTTTTGGGAATTCTTAATCCAAATAATGTGATCTTTAAGTTATCAGAAACCTGTTTTCAAGAGTGCTTGTCAGGGTTCTTTTCATCCTTTCTGTGAACCTCCTTGAAGATACGCCATTCTAGGATTTTACTTCTTTATCAAGAGCTTTTAGAAAATGTATCATAATTAAGCAATTAACTATGGAAAAGTTAACTATGGTCATGGTTAAAGATGTAATTGACAAAAAAGTTGTTTTTTTTCTCCTGTGGCCTATAATAATTTAATATAATAACCATAATTATGATGGATAACATACCAAGACATATCAGAATTTTAGGAATCTCATAATTTTGGAACATATATTAATAATGTATTCATAAAAACATAACTCAAGGCTAAACATTACTTATTTGACAATGCTTCTCATAGTTTAACATGTCAAATAAGTCTATAAACTCTCTTTTGGATGCTGCAGAAGGCCTCTGCAGAGTGTCTCAAGTTAGTTGAGGTCAAAAAGACTTCATTTCCAACTTGAAATTTGATTTAAGGAAAGAAGCCTGTCAAATATGTCAAAGGTTTAAAACATTTAATTAAAATATGATCACAGGTCACTGTAGAATAATAGTAATTCATTTAGCCAAAATGGTAATTAAAAGGTTTTAAAAAGCATTTATTCCTTGAGGGAGAAGAGGCTCTGTTTTTCAATCAAAAGATCTGAGAAAGACAACATGAGACAGAAGCTGTGTCAAGTTAAACTTAACACCATGCATGTGCCATGCATGTATACAGTGAAACAGAACAGTGAGTGAGAGACACAATCCCTACCTTCACCACTGAGTGGAATTCAGACAAGAAGGAGGCAATAATGTAGCTGTGGGAGGAGAAGCACAAGGTATGTGGGGGGCAGCCAAGAGTGGCATCCACACCTGGGGATAGATACTGTACACCTGTCATGATCCAAATGCCCAAGGGCATTGGTCACTATTTACTTCAGTGGCTGTGTAACACAGATGTGCTTGAAAACTATCTGTGGCTACGTGAGATCTGAAAAACATCTTTATAACCAAGCTAGTTAAGTTAGAAGGTGTTTTTCCTGAAAGGAACACAATTGATGTCCTCACAGTCTCAGCTTCTGAAGTCAATTACACCACTATTAACCACAGTTTTTAAGAGCAATTACTGCTTTACTGGATCTAATATTACTTTTTTTCCCACTTTCTTGCTCCTC